>NC_000010.11:2737272-2888787 GCF_000001405.40 Homo sapiens
AGGAAACTAAACAGCTACAAAAGAAAAGGCATTAACAATATTCAGAAGAAAAAATAAAATGGCTAATGCCTGTATGGAAACTAGTCATAACTCACTGTTTCCCAAATAAACAAAAACTGAAGTTAATCATTAGAGATAATTTTTCACTGAAGAAAGTCACGGAAGTGTTTTAAAAGTCATAAGATTCATTAGAGACAAGGTTATAACCAAAATTGTACTCTCATACTTGACACCTGACGTGGTGACAGGGAAAATTGGTGTAACCTTTCAGGAAAGTCACATGAGGACAGCTATTATAAATAAAAGTAGACTGATCCCTTGACCCAATCATCCGACTCTCAGTAGACTCTTGCACAGAAAAACAAACCAAACAATACAAAAAGCTACAGGTATAAGGACACATGGGTGTTCATTATACCATTATTTTTAATAGCAAATAAAACAAAACAAAAACAAAACCAGAAATGTCTATCAACAGAGAGGGAGTACAATAATCTGAAACTTCCATATTGTAAAAATTATTACGTAGGTATTTCAAAATGAATTGTATATTATGACATGGAGAAAGATAAGTTGGTGGGTGGGTGGATAGATATGGACTGATGCATGGATGGAAGGAAGCCGTATTTCAGTGAAAAACAGAGTGCAGAATAATCTGTACATCATCCCTTTTGCAAAACCAACAGTAATGTAAGCTGTGTATGTATGTGTGTGTGTTTTTTTGTATATTTGTGTTTAACAGAGGGTAAATATTTGGAGTATAAAAAACAGGTAGATAAACTTGGCTACATCGGAAGACTAAAAGTTATAAAAATTACTTTTATATAATAATCTTTTGCATTTTTTGTATAGTTAAGTTCATGATTCTATTCTAGTTAAAATTTGAAGAATAACTCATTTAAAAAAACAAAAGTTGCAAGTTCTTTTGTTTTCAGAAGTTATATTGTCAATTCTCAATTTCCAACCATGGCTCCATCAAGAGCTGGACTGTGGGCTGCCTGCTGGATTAAACTTTTCCTCAATGCTGTTGCCTCTCCAAAGCTGGAGCTGCAGAGCCCTCTGAAGACCCTGGAAATCACAGCTCCTGGAATGGAATTCCAGAGGCAGCAACGGAGTGAAACAAACAGCTACGTGGTGACTTCTTTTCCTTCAGTTACTGAAACCAGTAGTCACAAATTAGAAATCATTAACTATTGAATATTAAAACAATGGCAATGAACACATTATTTCTGTTTTCTTTTAAAAATAGAAAGTGGAAGGTGATTTGCAGCTCTGGGATACAGTCTTATCAGATGTTGTCAAGCACCTCCCATACTCTCATATGATAGAGGACTGATATTTGACAGAACTCCACCCTTTATCACACCTTCCCTAACACACCACAGTGTGCAAAGATCAGGTGGATTGAGTTGAGAAGGTGCTTGGAATGATCCCATGGTGGATACAAAGAGAAAAATGTTGAATATGAAAGACAAAACAATGTGCCTACATTTATGTAGGCAAACCCATTGTCTTTCTGGTGAAACAGCTACAACAAAGACACTTAAGAAATGCAAGGCCTTCTGGAAGGATTGACTTAGCCCTGTTCTCTTCCCCATGCAGGAACATCCAACATGACTCCACCCAGGGCCACAAACTGCACCAGCATCTTTTGGAAAACTCAAGTGTTCTTGAAGGTGACTTATTAAATCAGTGTCAACCATTAACATCTTAATGTGGATTAATAGTTTGACAGGGGAGCCCATTCTGTGATAAATTGTCCTCTGCAAGCCAGTGAAGGGAGAGATGTGTGATGGGGGCATTGGTGGATATGAGACCCCAAGCAGTGTCACAGAAGAAGGACGTGGTTGGAGAGAGCTGGGAAGCACACAACACAGGGTGCTCTCCTGGAAGGCAAGAATGTTGCCTGACAGCCCTCTTATGTCCCTCATCTCTCCAAGCCTAATCTTACGTCATAGCAGGTGTTCAGTAAATGCTTGTGGATGAACCCATCAATTATTGGTGATTCTGTTTTGCTATCTTCTCTTGACAAGGTTTATACTACCAGTTAAAAACTGGTCTTATGTTTTGTTTCTTTTTTGTTTTGTTTTGTTTTGCTGTTTGAGACAGAGTCTCATTCTGTCACCCAGGCTGCAGTGCGGTGGCAGGATCCCAGTTCACTGCAGCCTCGACCTTCTGGGCTCAAGAGATCCTCTTACCTCAGCCTCCTGAATAGCTGGGACTGCAGGCACATACCACCACAACCAGCTAATTTTTGTATTTTTTGTAGAGATGGGGTTTCGCCATGTTGCCTAGGCTGGTCTCAAACTCCTGGGCTCAAGCGATCCTCCTACCTCAGCTGCCTATGTCATTACAAGATAATTTGGATGATATATTTTCAAACACAATCAATTTTTACTATATTAATATTTCAAAATTAAAATATATTTTTCTTATCGGGACTTTTATTCAGATGTGCTGTTTAGAGACCACAAACCAGAAGCTATAATTCATGTAAAACCTAAAGACAACTTTGTTTAACATGCATGTGTTTTACAAAATAAAGCCAGCAATTTTCATTTTTATACAGAAAACCTAAACGTCTGGCTTCTCTTTAAAAATTGAGTCTGACCCCAGGAAACCATTCCTTCATGGCTGAAGTCTGCAGGGGTTGATTGACTGACCAGATGGGATGAGCCTCCCAGCGTCTCAGCCCTGAGCCACTCATGATTTCCTCAAGGGCGCTGGTTTCCGACGTGATTTCTCATGTTGCCTTTGAGGCGGCTGCAGGCACCTGGGGTTCTGGATGTGCTGGACACAGAACGACTGTCTGAATAGTCAAGTGTGCCTTTTACCCTGCACCTCACTCTCCAAAACAGTTCTGTGCATGCATTTTACATATACAATAGTCCTTGGAAATAGCCACATTAAATAATTTCAAAATATTTTTAATTTATCCTCTTCTGAATTTGAGTAGTGAGATTACAAGTTCATTATTAGCCTGGCATATATCTAAGTGGGTACTTAATAAAATAGTACAAGTTCCTCAAAGATCTTGGCAGGATTATGATTGTAATTTAGTCGGAATTCACAGCCTCCTGTGATTTTCAGTGATATTTCCAAAGTATTCTCACACAGTAATATGCAGTAGATGGCATTACATTGCAGTACAATTTGCAATTTAAGACTTCGGGCACAATAAGAATTCCGCCTGGAAGATCTATGCAAATGCTTTAGAAAGTGGTCTGTCAACTTTCAGTAAGAAAACACATCTTAGAAGCTTCTGACTTATAAAAATCAACCAATATATTTCCAAGGTTTTTAATTCAATTTTTCCGGACACGTCTCTGCTTTTTTAAGCCTAAGACGTGAAACATGTGTGATTAAATACTTTTCTGTGACAACAAAGCCCTGTTATTTTGTGAGTGTGTATTCACATTTATAAGTAAGGGAGGAAGAAAAAAAGAGATATTTGTGAGCTTATTTTAAGGAAAGAAACAACTTGAGTTAACAGTTAGCATTTGACAGTTTATGCTCTATTGGAGAGAGAGATCACCAGCTGAAAAAAGTCATGAAAATAATTTATAGTCTTATTTTGAAATTCACACGTTTCCCAGTATGCTCACAAGACTAACATTCGGGAATGTTTGTGACGTTTAATCATTACTCAAGTACCCAGTCATTATGGAGAAATGTTTATGAAAAATGGATGCAAAGAGGCTCAATGCGTTGCCTCCAGCAACAATATTTACCAGGGACAGGTAGAAGAAAAAGCATAACACAATGTATCCGGGACCCATTAGCACACAACAGGATGATTGGACTTTTTGTTGTTGTTCTTATCGATCTGAATACATCCTATTTTTTGAAATTACTCTTGTAAATATCATTCTTTAGTTCTACAAATGGCATTCTTTTAAACTGGCTAAGAAGTAGACTAGCAGCTAATAAATATGAAAAAGGAATAATTGTTAGAAAATATATAAATTAAGTTCATATATAGATGACCATCATGGGCTGATACATTCTTTTAAAAATGTATTTTCATTTAATTTGTATATATTTATGGGGCACAAGTGCAATTTTGTTACATGCATATATTGTGTAATGGTGAATGCACAAATTATGCAAATTGTGCCCATTAAGTCATTTCTGGTCATCCACCCCTCCACCCCCTCACCCTTCCCAGTCTCCATTGCTTATGATTCTACACTATACATCCATGTGCACACATTATTTAGCTCCCACTTACAAGTGAGAGCATGCAATATTTGTGATATGGTTTAGTTCTATGTCCTGTGTCCCCACCTAAATCTCCTCTCAATTTGTAATCCCCACATGTCAAGGGAGGGAGGTGATTAGATCATGGAGGTGGTTACCCCCATGCTGTCCTCATGATAGTGAGTGAGTTCTCACAAGATTTGCTGGTTTTAATAAGGGGCTCTTCTACTTCATCTTCTCCTCTCTCTCTCCTGCCACCATGTAAGATGTGCCTGCTTCCCAGTCTGCCATGATTGTAAGTTTCCTGAGGCTTCCCCAGCCATGTGGAACTGTGAGTCTATTAAACCTCTTTCCTTTATAAATTACCCAGTCTCGAGTAGTATCTTTATAGCAGTGTGAAAATATACTAATACAGTTTGCCTTTCTGTGTCTGCCTTGTTTCACTTAAAATAACGGCCTCCATTTCTATCCATGTTGTTACAAAAGATATTATTCCTTTTTTTATGGAGAAGTAGTATTCCACAGTGTAAATATACCACATGTTCTTTATTCATTCATTCATGGACACTTAGATTGATTCCCTGTCTTTGCTATTGTGAATAGTGCTGTGATAAACATACGAATGGCTGGTGTTTTTTTGAATGATTTCTTTTCTTTTGGGTAGATACCAAAAGACTGCTGGATTGAATGGTAGATCTATTTAAGGCTCCTTGAGAAATTTCCATGCTGTTTACCATAGAGATTGAACTAAATAACATACCCACCAACAGTGTGTAAGTGTTCCCTCTTCTCTGCACTCTCTCCGACATGTTACTTTTTGACTTTTTTTTTTTTTTTGAGACAGGGTTGCCCAGGCTGAAGTGCAGTGTCTCAACCATAGTGCACCACAGCCTTGACCTGCTGGACTCAAGTGATTGTCCCGCCTCAGTGTCTCGAATAGCTGGGACTACAGGCATGTGCCACCACAACTGGCTAATTTTTAAATTTTTTATAGAGATAGAGTCTCATCATGTTGCCCATGCTTTTTTTATTTTTAATAGTTGGGCTGATAAATTATTTATTTACAGTCATTACTGTCAGCAATAGAAAGTATTCTTGAACTGTACAAATATATGTGATTTACAGATAACACCATTTTCTTCTGAAATGGTGTTTTGTATTTTGTGTTTGCTTTTTCCTTGGGGAAGATTATAAAGGAGAGTGTCCTTATAACACCATTATCTACTAAATGAAAACATCCTGGTTTGTTTCTAGAAATGGTTGTGCTCCTAAAAAGGATGACGGCTCTCAATTTTAAAAACATGTAAAAATAAAATGTAATAACTCTTTAAAACTACCTTCATGAAGAAAGCTGGAATTATTTTGTAAAATCATTTCCTAAACCAGCACTTAACAAAATGTGAACAACCATGTGGACTACTAATTTGGAAGAAAAATATTTCTTTAAGAAGCTAAAGTAACGCCCCCAACTTCCTAGTCATTTGATCTGAGAGAGTGAAGTGACCTAGAGAAAACGTGGAGAATACAGGACAATGAGCAATGTTCATATCTTTTATTATTTCTCTAAGACTCAAAGTGTTTATCAGGCTCCTGACAGAAGACAGTTAGCTAAATAGTTAAGTCAAAGTTATTGAAGAAAGTATGCATGACAAATATCTGATATTTCTAGTCAACAGTAAGTTTGCAGTTTTGGTTGTCCAGGGCCTGCCAGACAATTCTCTTGCCCTGGGCTTTCTTGTGTGGACACTGGCTACAGGAGAACCTACGGACAACGCTGAGGAGCTCACAGGGAAATTGCTCCTGCTCTATTCTCAGGCCTGAATCCCATTTGTAACGCAATTCTTAAGCCTATTTAGTACTTTGGCCTGAAAATACCTCCTCTTTAAACTACCAAAAACTGATTATTTGACTAATTAATGGTGCAAATAATTGTAAAATTTTCTTAGCCATAGTCCCATTTTTTAAATGGGACTATATTTTAAAAATAATATTTTTAATATGTTTTAATTTAATAAATGTTTTTAAATATATAACTACATTGGCACATATTTTTAAAATAAATGACTTAATGGGCACAATTTGCATATTTTAAAAATAATGTGGTAATCATAAAGAATAGAAAAGTTTTTACTAAATATTTTCTCTTTCTATACAGGTTATTTGACAGAGAATTGTCATTATTTAGAATACAGCTGGATTGGCTGAGCACGGACGGTGGCTTATGCCTGTGATCTTAGCACTTTGAGAGGCTGAGGCAGGAGAATGGCTTGAGCCCAGGAGTTCAAGACCACCCCAGGAAACACAGGGAGAACATGTCTCAATAAATAAATGAATAAATAAATAAATAAATACAAAGTTAAAAATTTAAAAAATGTTTATTTTATTTTTATTTTATTATTATCATTTTTTTTTGAGATGGGGGTCTCACTCTGTCAGCCAGGCTGGAGTGCAGTGGTGCGATCACCACTCGCTACAGCCTTGACCTCTGGGCTCAAGCCATCCTCCTACTTCAGCCTTCTGAGTAGCTGGGACCACAGGCGTGTGCCACCACACCCAGCTAATTTTTCTATTTTTTGTAGAGACAGGGTGTTGCCATGTTGCCTAGACTGATCTCAAATTCCTGGGCCCAAGCAATCCGCCCACATCAACCTCTCAAAGTGTTGGGATTACAGGAGTGAGCCACTGTGCCCAGCCAACTTTTTTTTTTTTTAAAGAATAAATCTGGCTTAAAAAGTGAGGAAAAAATGGCATATTATCTATAATTCTGGATCACAAAAGAGAAACATTGTTAAAATTTATGTTCACCTTGGCAATATATTTTGAGGATTTTGAAAAAATGATTTTATGAGATGGAGCTCATCTTTCAGAGTATGAATTGAATTGTTTCTCATCAAAAGACATTTTCTGAGGTGTTTTCAGGAATGTGATTTAATCACAGGTTAACATAAGGTTGCTGGATCACACGGAGTTTTCTGAGGCCTTTAACTGTGTTTCAAAGCCTATTAAATTTAAGAGGCAAATCACCTAATCATGAAAGCCTCCATCATTCCTTTCTCTGAAAACTTGCTGTGTCTAATTTGACAAAATTTTCAAAGTATTCTTACTCATTATAGATGCTAGAAGCCACCATTTCATTCAGATCTCTATTTTTAAGTGCTTACCAAATATTTTACAAATTTAGATTTTTCAATGGGATGAAAATTATTATCTGTACCAGAAATAAGCAGCTGAGCATAACGAATGCACCCTATGTGTACTCCAAACCATTAAAATGCAAGCTTTACTTTCATTTTCTTTAAACAAGTATGTCACGAAACCAGCCTTGAAAGCAAGGCTCTCCATAGCCTTATAAAATATGTGAGATGAAGTAATTTACAACACATAATTTATTACCATTCTTCTGATTTTGTGTTTTGTTTGGAATTATTTATTGGTCAGAAAGTAAGTGCCTGACATAGAGCAGGCAGTTGAGTAAGTGTTAGCGGGTTGAAAGCAGTACACATGTCTGAGATAATACTGCTGCTTGTCAAGTTCACAGAAAAACACCAATGATATTTGGTTCCCTCCCAAACCGGAAGCCTCTGGAGTGAAGGCTGTCCTTCCAAGAGGGTCCCTGGAGCAGTGGCGAGAAAACGGTGACTTGTCAGAGGGGTGGCAGAAGAAGTCTCTTGCAGCTGGCTGGGATTCTGGACTTGGGGAGTAATTTCCATTGATTAGATGTGTAGGAAACACACAGGAAGATATCCTGTTTCCAACAGTTCTTACTAAGGAAATTTGATTTACACATACAGAGCACTTGCTGAAGCCGTGGTTTTAAAAAATCACCTACTAAACCCGGATGTGTTTTTTTTTTGTTTGTTTGTTTTGTTTTTGTTGTTGTTTTTGAAGGAGTCTCACTCTCTCGCCAGGCTGGAGTGCAATGGCGTGATCTCAGATCACTGCAACCTCCGACTCCCTGGTTCAAGTGATTCTCCTGCCTCAGCCTTCTGAGTATCTAGGATTACAGGCACGTGCCACCACACCCAGCTAATTTTTGTATTTTTAGTAGAGACAGGGTTTCACCACATTGGCCAGGATGCTCTCAATCTCCTGACCTTGTGATTCGCCTGCCTTGGCCTCCCAAAGTGCTGGGATTACAGGCATGAGCCACCGCGCCTGGCCATGATGTGTATTTTTAATATTAACCATACTTTTTTTTACGTTGACTCACTAAAAAATATCCCAGTCTGAAATTTGCTGTTTTAATATTTTTAAGAAAACCCAAACCAGAAAATCCAGAGTGGACCACTCATTTAAAAACTATCAATACGTTCTGTAATCAATTGCATCAGGAAGAAATAGAGACATGTACCTTGCTTGTTTTTTTGACATCCACTGTACAAACAACACAGCAAATCTCTGACAGAGTGTCACTTAGAATACTTTTTCCTTAAAGATGACAGCCTTCCCCTTATGTGTCATTGTGCACACACTGAAGTTCCTCCCGCTTTGCCAGAAACTAGCATAACACGCAACTACCTCGGTGATTTTCCACAGATGGTTATTTGAAATGGTTTAAGATGCTACAAGCTCATTGAGAATTTTAATAATCTTCCTAGGCAGAGGACTTGACTCCCTGGACTGTTTATTCTTGACATGAAAAATGTTGCCTTCCATCAATAGCTGATCTTTCTCTCTTCATTCTTTCTTTTATTCATTTTCTTCTACTGTTTTATGGAAAAGTTTTTCCTGAAATTATTTCATTATAATAGGGATGTCAGCTCTAAAGATCAAACATAACTAACGTCTACACAATGGTAGAACAAATGGAAGATTCATTCTGCTTCTGTTGATGATACTTCTAAGACTAAATATTAATTTATAGAAGGTTATTTGCCTTTTATTTTCCTCATTTACAATGGCAATGTTACTGCTAACACTAATAACCAGCACTCATTTGGCTTCTGCCAAGTCAGGTGATGTTCTTAGTGCTTCATGGGAATTAGCCCATTGAATCCTCAGAAGGACTTTCCAAGATGAGTAACTTGACCACCCACATTTTACAATTGAGGAAACTAAGGTATATTGGATTTCTACAAATCTTTTTCTTTATCTATTTCTTTATACATATAGGGCCAGGCTACTGGGACATTCATTCATCCAAGAGAAGCAGGTTGCATTCCTGGAAATGGTTCATCTATTGACCCGAGTTTGCAAAGATCGGCAGCTCCCTGCTGTCCACGTTCAGGGAAGAAGTTTGGAGATTCCTTTCCCTTGCAAATATTGGGCCTGGAAGAGACAGAGTCCTGAGAACACAGCCGTTCTCACCATTCCATGAACAGTCGGTGTGTGCACTTTCGTTGTAACAGCGTTACTCCTGATGACGTCATCCTATGCACCTATTGTTCTCATTTCACTTAAATGATAGATCTTACTGGAATATTGGTGATCTCCCTTTTTAGAAAGTTTTCCCCCAATTTAATTTTCTTGACTTCTTTTAATATTGTTTTTATATGGTTTACTTTTTGCATTATTTAAAGTTCAGAAACCTGGGACTGGTCTCTCTGCAATGCAGGTCTGAGTGCATTACCCATAGTTTGGTCATTTAGTCCCTACACCTCTCAGCCCATCCTACATCACTCTTCACAGCCTCTGCTCTAACGATAGGGTCCTACCATGTGACCAGGCCTTGCAGTCCCTCTGAGCGAGGAGCCACACTCACTCCATCTCCATGTCTCTGACATTTCCTCCCGTACTGGGAACACCCACTTCCCCTCTCCTTCTAGATCGTGCCTTCATCTGTACCCACTTCCCCTCTCGATCTAGATTGTGCCTTCATCTGTTGACATTTAGATGAATTATTGCCTCCTTGGAAAAGTCTTTCCCGATACCGAGCCAGGTGACCTCATCTGTTTCTGTAGCAAGATGTTCCTATTTCTACTGGAGTGTTATTTCCTCTTCATTAGATTGAGATTTCGTTGGAGGAAAGGATTCTCCTTCTCTTCTATTATTGGCCAACACAGAACATAATTACGAAGACTCAAAGATATCTGAACATGTAATGATTTAGTATCACATATCTGAATACATTTATTCAACACATCTTTGAATGTGTATTGAATAAATAAAACACCAAGTTGAAGAGAAGCAACCCTCCTGATACTCAGAGATCTCTCGCGTAAGGACTGAGTGAGATGCCACATGTCCATTGTCTAGTCAGTAAGGACTGTGGGGAGAGTTAATAGACTCAGATCTAAAATCATTGCCTGAAGTAATGCTGAATTATCAGAACTGAAAGAAGCAATAAAACCACAGCCTCAAGATCAGCTCAAGAAAAATCCAGAAATAAGGTCATTTTGTCATGCCTCACGTTTAATATGAAGGTAGTAAAGAATTAAAGCCATATTGTTCAATAGACATGTCTTTGAGCACTGATAAATCTTTCCCATTTCAGATGTGAGAACAAGGGATATTAGAAAACACTCATGCACATTTCCAGTTGCAAGTTCATTATAATTTAATATTAACTAGGATTGCTATGTTCATTTTTGCATTCTACAGAGAATTTATAAGGCTTTTTCTATTTCTATATATTTCTATAAGGTTTCTGAGAAGGAAATACAAGACCTCTATATTCTGCTGTTTCTATAATAAATCATCTATATCTTTTTTGTGAGATGGAGTCTCGCTCTGTCGCCAGGCTGGAGTGCAGTGGAGCGATCTCGGCTCACTGCAACCTCCGCCTCCTGGGTTCAAGCGATTCTCATGCCTCAGCCTCCCGAGTAGCTGGGATTGCAGGCACGTGCCCCCACACCCAGCTAATTTTTGTATTTTTAGTAGAGACGGGTTTCACCATGTTGGCCAGGATGTTCTCGATTTCCTGACCACGATTCGGGATCCACCCGCCTCGGCCTCCCAAAGAGCTGGGATTACAGGCATGAGCCACCGTGCCCGGCCAAATCATCTGTATCTATACCTATCCCTATATTTATCTCAATCAGAGCAAAGTTTTTAGAATTCTCTTATTGTGCAATACTTCTCAATCAATTTCACTTATGAAATTAGCCAGCGAAAATATGGAGAATTTAGCCAGAGTCAACTTTACCTCCAGTACTTCCTAAAGTGTCCGAAGCCAAGCCCAGTTTTCTAAGGGATTAAATCACTATTTTTATAGCTAGTCATTCTTTCTTTCCTATGCCAAGGTAGGAAAGCAAAACACACAATCCCTCTCATTAGGACATCGTTTTGTGATTTCAACATTTTATTTAAAAAGATATTCCATTAATAATGAATGTTTATTGTTTAGAACTGTTTAAGGGTTGGGAGGAAGAGCCAAGACAGGGTACTTCTTCAAGTCACGTCTCCAGTATAGAATAGTATATGGGACACCAAATAGAGTGTAAAGAGATAAATAGGATTTGGCCAGGCAAAGTTACTGAGTCTCAAAGTCTTGAGGTGTGAATTTCCCAGTTGAAATTAGAGAGCGGTTAAATTATTGCTCAGCGTTGCATTTAGAATTAATGACTTCATGGAAGCAGGAGTCCTTTGCCCCTAGAAAACATTTCCCAAACTGGCCAATGACAGCTGCATGAAATTGCAATCTACATTTCCTGATAAAGTGTTCACTCTTCAAGTAGTAGGAAAATCATCACATCTTTTCTGTCAAGCGTTTCAAACTTTAAATATTAACGTGGATTAGTAACTTACAAAATCATGATACAACACATTTTTCCCAATTTATGCCTGATCACAGACCACTTTTCACAAGGCATATTTACGGAGGAAGTGAGGAAAAGGGCAATCCAGTTTAGGAAGTTTTGGGGATTTGAGAAGTAAGATGTTTGCATTTTTGAAATGTATTTATTTATGTATTTACGTATTTGTAGAGATGGAGTCTCACTATGTTGTCCAGCCTATTCAGAGATGCTGTCATAGTGCACTGCAGGCTTGAATTCCTGGTCTCCAGCAATCCTCCCACCTCAGTCTCTCAAACCGCTGGGACTATAAGCTCATAAATATAAGAGGAAACTAAGTGTAGGAAATTGAATAAGGATAGATTAAAAATTGCTACCTAGGGCTGGACACAGTGGCTCACGCCTGTAATCCAAACACTTTGGGAGGCCTAGGTTGGTGGATCACTTGACGTCAGGAGTTCAAGTCCAGCCTGACCAACATGGTGAAACCCCATCTCTACTAAAAATACAAAATTAGCAGGGTGTGGTGGCACATGCCTGTAGTCCCACCTACTTGGGAGTCTGAGGCAGGAGAATCACTGGAACCCAGAAGGTGGAGGTTGCAATGAGCTGAGATAACGCCATTGCACCCCAGCCTGAGCAACAAGAGCGAAACTCCATCTCAAAAAAAATAAAACAATGCTACCTAACAATTTAAAAAATGTTCTTAGTGGCTGAGCATGGTGGCTTATGCTTGTAATCCTAGCACCTTGGGAGGCCGAGGAGGGCTGATCACTTGAGGTCAGGAGTTTGAAACCAGCCTGGCCAGCATGGTGTAACCTGTCTCTACTAAAAATACAAAAAATTAGCCAGGTGTGGTGGCAAGCACCTGTAATCCCAGCTACTTGGGAGGCTGAGGAGGAGAATTGCTTGAACCTGGGAGGCAGAGATTACAGTGAGATGAAATCATGCCACTGCACTCCAGCCTGGGCAACAGAGCGAGACTCCATCTCAAAAAAAAAAAAAAAACTGTTCTTAGTACTGCATTTCTGTGGCTCTTCCAAGGGTGGTATTTTGGTAAGCCAAGTCCATTTCTTTTCAGGGGAATAAAAAAATTCTAGTAGCTTCAGACTGAAAAGGGTCTTTATAAAACTTAGATGTGCACCAGTCAGCGGTAGCCTGTGTTTCATCCTTCGCTTCATTTGTAGAAAGGCATAAATCAAAGTAAGAAAAAGAAAGTCAGACACCTATAGCTGTACATTTTACACAGAAACCTCTGACCTAAGAGGAAATTCAGTGGATTGTTTCATGCATAGCCTTACATTTCTAATTTATGGTATTGCCATGTCTGTCTTCACCTTGTTTTCTTGCCAAAAATTAATTAGAAAATAATATAGAGAAATTGTTAAGTCCTTAAGGAATTTTTTGCAACTGCCTGCTGCTGAGGGGAAATGAAGAATTGTGTATACATGCTCACAGCTGCTTCTACGAGCAAGTATAGGTGAGGTGTTAAGAACAATTTTTCCCATAACTATAGATTTTTCCAAAGTAAGAGATTTTTATGGTGCCAATTCAGGACACTGCAGATATACACAGATATTCTTTAATTCAGTCTGCTCTATTTGTGAAATGAGCAAAGTGTAAATTCAATTCAATTCAATTCAATTAATATTTATTGAGAACCCATGGCGGGGGGTAGAACTGTACAAAGAACAGTAAGGTCAGCCGATGAATCAGACACAGACTTTTTGACAAGCTTTATGTCTTCCATCTCTGGGGAACATTTACTCTGGCTTAGAAAAACACGAACAATCAAAATTAGAGAAACGTCAGAAAAGAATACCAGTGCATAAAATCAGGTCAGAATGACCTAAAATCATTTACATACAAAAGGAATAGACAGGTACCCTTTCCAGGAGCACTAGGCCCTTATTCTGTAGTGCAGGCTGGGCTCAGGAGTGGACTGAGGAGTTAGGCAACAAAAACTGCAATGGAAGGATATCCCGTGGTCTCCCCAAATGCTTTTCTCTAATGATCAGGTGTGTGGTATTAAATTAAACAATTCCTTTGACTCTTGAAGTTTTCTTGATCCTCGAAGACACCTATTAAAATACAAATAGTCGGAGAGTCTAGGAAAACAGAAGCAGCAGCTGCCATTTGGTTTTTGTATCGATCCGTTTCTCCCCAGACAATGAGAGAGGAACTAGAATACCAAAACGTTATATCCACGGGCAGCAGCTACAACAGACCTAAGTGTCAAACCCCCAAATACAGCAGATGGAAAGAGCAGCAACCTCAAATCCTGCAAGGTTTAGCAACTGTGTCGAGAGGGCAGAGGAGGCTCTGGGCATCAGATGAACCTGACAGCCCCCAGATTCCCCCCTGGAAGCCATGGCAACCACCTTAAGAACAAGAGCCGAAAATGGGTCAGTTTCCAAACTCCAACAGCAGCTGTGCACAGAGTATCCCAGGATGGCTGGAAAAGGCTGGGGCTGTCTGTGTCTCACAGAGATTCAAAATCGGATCTTCTGCTTTTGACTCCAATGTATTGGAGCTGTCACAGCAGCCCTCGGCACAAAAAAAAAAAAAGCTGGATGCATTAAAAATCAGTGACTTCCTTGGACCCATCGGAAAACTGAGGTTTCAGAGCCATTCACCATCTGGAAATCAAGAGACACCCCATACCTGCTCACCTGGAGCAGAAGACTCTGGACTATCATGGGTAGAGGCCTTCGAGTGGGCACTTTGCTGGATTGCTGGAGGCTGAGTGTGGACTAGCTCCAGTGTGAGAAACTCCATGTATTATGTGTTCTTCCTGAATTATAAACTCCCTGACCTTTATGTCACTCTTCCCGAGATCTCAAATATCTCTGGACCCTGTGTGCCTTGCACTCGAAGTCCTTTATTTATTATTTATTGTACCTGATACCCATTTCTTGTATGACAACTTCAACATCTGAGTCACCTTTGAGTACTTGGTGTCTTCTGGCTGTGTTTTTTCTTGCCTTTCAGCATGCCTGTGCTAAAATAATGCTCAAAGAAGGGAAAATAAAATCATAAAAGATCTTAATTTTTATCAGGTCAATAATCTACATAGACTGGATGAAATGTATGGTCCCTTTTATCAAGAAAAATAACACACACACACACACACACACACATACACACAGGCAATGTTTTTGATATAATGACAAGATGGTCACACTTGTCCCTAAACATATGTGAGTATTTTCTTTGGGGTAGATCCATGGTTTCCCACGTAACTGCTCTAACTAAAGCAATGGCTGGGCGTGCAGAGAGCCAGACCACACAATAACTCCTGCCCTCTACACATTGCACAGAGGAGCCTGCCCCTCCCCCACCTACCTCCCACCACCTGACACACAGCGCATGGTGTATTTTAGCACTGGGGAGAGGAGAAAAGTTTCAGCACTAACTTCTCATCTATATTCCTCTCTTCCATCATCAATCACCCAATCACAGCTACCAAGTAGAGGGTGGAAGAGATAATATCTAAAATATGAGAAAGCATTGGATGTCTCCAGATAGGTGTTATTGTTTCTACTTTCATTATTTTCCCATTTTATCTCGTTTTTGAAAAAAATCAATACTTTCATTTTATGGACCCAGAAAATCTTTGTATGTGTTGCTTAAACACAGGAGTTGTGTGGGATAATTTCTAGATTTGGTACCAGGAAACATCAACTTCCTTTGTTGTTTTAGCTTTTTATACCAACTAAATAAACTAAGTAGTTTGTGAGAGTATCTGAGATGCTTCTTCATTTATAAAAATAAATGGTCTTTTCAATCTCAAAAAAATTGGGGAATAAGACAAAATAGTATAAAAGAGAATGTTTTGTGTTAAGTATTACACAAAACTTAGATGCTAAAATCAGGCACGTGAATTTAGTAGCTGACAATATCAGCATTCAGCACGGTAAGTCAATAAAGGAAGTCAGGTGGACAGGCGTTCTGCTGATGAAAGGGAGAAGGCACCCCTGAAGGACAACTGCTCCCTCCTTTGCAAATCTGGAGAGTTTAGGACTTTATAGTTAATGTAGTGGGCAATGACTGGAGAATGCAAATCGGGAGACAAAGCCCCTCCCACAAAGTGTTCTATTCTACAGACAAACAGAAGGTAAAATAAATCCTAAAGACTGTTATTTACAGCCTGGTTATTGTTCAGTGATGTAGTCAAGAGCTTTTATACCATCTGAAGAAAAGTTCTTCCTTGAGGTGATTCTTAAGAATTAAGTGAACTCTCCATGTTTTAGATACACTTTTTTTTAAGTGTGTATCTGGTTGCTGTGATCAATGTACCCAATTGCTCCTCCCACATCTACCTCATGGCTCACCTAGAATCCACATTTGCAGCTTCCCTTCGGCTGGGAGCGGCAATGCAAGTCATTTGGGCCAAGAGGATTTGAACAAAAGTGAAATGCCTAAGCCATCTCCAGCTGAAAGAGGAGCCACTTTCTCTCATTTGAGCTTTTTATTTTTTCCCGAAGGCAGGTCACTAGATGTGACGTGAACCCGATTTCATCCAATCTACAGAAAAGACCAACAGCCAGAGGATGGAGCCACCAGTTAAAGCAAAAACGTGACAGAGAACAAACCTCTACTTACGTAAACCATTGAACCAATCAGCTGCCTAGCAATTGTGTGGGAGCAAGATTTCACCATCTGCAGATCCTACAAAAACATTCCACCTACGTGCCAGGGTATGTGGACAAGAAAGTTCAAAGCAGCAGCATTGGGAAGAGCAGAAATATTGAAAATAACCCGGGCGTGGTGGGTCACGCCTGTAATCCCAGCACTTTGGGAGGCTGAGATGGGTGGATCACGAGGTCAGGAATTCGAGACCAGCCTGGCCAACATAGCGAAACTCCATCTCTACTAAAAATACAAAAATTAGATAGGCATGGTGGCTCATGTCTTTAATCCCAGCTACTCGGAAGTCTGAGGCAGTAGAATCGCTTGAACCCGGGAGGCAATTTCAGTGAGCTGAGATCACACCACTGCACTGCAGCCTGGGCAAGACAGCGAGACTCCGCCTCAAAAAAGAAAAAGAGAAAATAGAAAATAACCCAAACATCTATCAGTAAATGAAGGCTTAGTGTTGGTACATTGAAACAGTGTACAATTCCATATCAGGAAAAATGCATTAACTTCAGCTGTTCATAATTCCAAAACTGAGTTTTCAAAACAAAACACCGAGTAAAAAAATGTCTCAGAAAACTATGGCATTTTTGAAAGGTCAAATATAAACAAAACTAAATAGTATAGTGCCATATTTGTTTCCTAGGGTTGCCATAATTAATACCACAGATGGCAGCATCAACAACAGAAACGGATGTTTTCACTGTTCTGGAGCTGGAAGTCCCGGCCTCAGGAGCGGCAGGATTGGCTTCTCCTAGGTCCTGTCTCCTTGGCTTGCAGGCGGCTGTGCACTTACACAGTCTTTTCTCTGTGTGAATGTCTGGTGTCTCGTCCTCTTATCCCCCAAACATCAGTCAGAATGGATGAAGCCTAGCCTAACAGCCACATTTTAATTCAAATACCTCTTTAAACATTTTATCTGAAATATGGTCACATTCTGAGGTACTAGGAGTCGAGACTTCAAGAGATGAATTTTGGGAGAACACAATTTAGCCCATAGTATACACAAACTAAATTCCAGGTGGTGGTCATCACCTGGGGGACCCAGGGCATGGAGAGGAAAAGATGGAAATTACATCTGTTTCTGTAATAGAGGTGATGATGTTCTACCGCTTCCCTGCGCAGTGCATTTGCAGGCATTCAGTATAGTGCTGTGCTTCCCAACACACACACACACACACACACACGTGCACACACGCACACACACGCACACACGCACACACGTGCACTCACACATATATAGACACATACACAAATACAGATATGCACACATATACACATACACATATACACACATATGCACATATACACATACACATTAATGGATGCATGCACATATATACACATACACACATGCACACACAAACATGCATGCACACACATACACATATATACACACATACACACATGCACACATATACATACCTATATACACACATGCACACATATACATACCTATATACACACATACACACATGCACACATACATATACACACTTGCACACATATACACACACGCACACACATACACACATATATACACACATGCACACACATACATATACACACTTGCACACACCTATACACATATGCAGAAATACATACATGCACACACATACACATCTACACACGTACACATGTATACACACATATACAGACATACACATATTAACACACACATACACATGCTTTTGTATGTATCAAATATTACAAAATATTTCAAAGATATGTTGATTCAAGAAATACTAAATGTCTTAGCCATTGTTATCTGAAGCTACTTTGAGGTGCGTAAGATGTAGGAATGTCATTAGATGCCTGGATCCCTCTGTGCTGGGATAGACAAGCACACTGTTTACTAATAGATGGAATATATTCCATAGGCAAGGGTCGAGTTTGCGAAAAGGAATCAGATAGCTTCTTGTTGAGCATCTGGACACGACCCTGCTTACAGAAGAAAGGAAGGGGAAGGAGGAGAAAACACACATGGATGATTGCCGTCTGTGTGCAGTCTGCTGCATACGGACACCTAATTCCGGTCAGGTAGCGTCCCGTGAGACTTTGGTATGAATTTCAGTTGCTCCTGAGATGGATTTGACTAGTCCACGGGTGGGTTGCATCTCTGCCGGCCAAGGTTGAGACCTGCATCTCTAATGGGATCTTCTGCTTATAGTTTCCTGCAGGTGTCCTCCTCAGTCTCCCAGAATCCCTACCTCCTCTCCCGGTTCTCCCTCAGAAACAAACCAAGCCTCCTCCTCAGTCTCCCAGAATCCCTACCTCCTCTCCCAGTTCTCCCTCTCAGAAACAAACCAAGCCTTTTTATCTCAGGGACAAAGAGCAGCATTTGCAGAATTTTTAGCATATTTCATGCAAAATTGATTCCAACACTAAGTTTCCATGAAACAATGGTGCTCTGCTAGTAACATTTTCTGAAATGTTATATATTTTAAAAGCAGGTAGTTTTCCAGCTTATTGAGAAAAATTATTGCTCATATATAATTATTTTTCAGCTTTAAGTTTTTCTCCCATGATATGTATTGGGAAAAACTATATATATATAGTATATACTATATATTATATAGTATATATTAATATTATATACTATATATTATATAGTATATACTAATATTACATACAGTTTATATATATAACTATATATAAACTATGTATAAACTACATATGTATATATAACTATATATGATATCTATGTATATATAGTATATATAACTATATATATAACCCTTATTTAATCATCACAGACAAGCAAACAAGTTTAATCAAAAGAATAGAGCTGAAGATCAATATTTAAACTGTGCATTAAAATATAGCATTTGAGCTAATCAAGTCAGCCAACAATGAGCATGCCACATGTAATGTTTGCTTTTCAAATCTGGAATCCATTCCCTCTGTCACTCTAATTCCTGGACCCAACTATATATATAGTTGTATATATAGTAAATATACAACTATACATAGTATATGTACCTATATATACACGTTATATATATGTGTGTGTATATATGTATATATATAGTGTGTTATGTATATAGAGATAAAATGTGTTATGTATGTGTGTGTACACACACACACACAGAGTCATCCCTTGGTATCCAAAAATTTGTGGATGTTCAATTCCCTGGTATAAAATGTTGTAGTATTTGCTCATAACCTATGCAATTCTCCCCTGTACTTTAAGTCATTGCCTGATTTATAATAGCTAATGAAATGTAAATGGTATGTAAGCAGTTGTTACATTGTATTATTTGGGGAAACAATAACAAGAAAAAAATGTATATGTGTTTAGTATAGACAATTATTTTTCAATATTTTTGATCCTTAGATGTTTGTTATTTTAATTTTTGTAAGCTACTAACGATTCAAAGAAAAGTGAATATTTTAAATGTAATATATTAATAGTAATAGCATCATTGGTCGTTTGTCTGACTAATCCTTCACTCTGAATATTGTTAGTTCACATTATCTATTTTTGTTCTACGAAAATATGTCATGGTTTTAACATTTTATTTGTTTTTAAAAATAATAATGAAGATAAAGCACAGTAGAAGGAGAAAAAGAAGAAAAAAGCAAAGAAAATGAAATTAAACAAAATGCCTATACAAAGGCATATATTAAATAAAGGTTACAAGTGGAAAATAGAGACATAACTTTCTGGGAAAAAAATTGCATATTTGTCGTAAAAGTCTTCTTAGAGAGTCGCTGCATCCATTTCTAGCTTTGTTGTAGGAAGGATGATCCACTTGGGATTGGACTGAGATGCTGCTAGAATTCCCTGAGATGATTAAGTCTTTTCTTTTACAGATAATTCCTTTCCAAGGCCATTCAGAGAGACGATCTGCACATTAATTATCCAGTAACAGGAACAGTCTTTGTTGCTTCTGCAGAGAGACTCTGACCTTCCATTACCTGACAGAAAAGTAACCCTAGACCCCAGGGTTTGCTTTTCCAATACTACAAAGTAGCTACAAGCCCTTGCGAGGAATAGCGCTGTCCGGGTAACGGGGCGTCCGGCAGAATTAGACCAGGCTCACATCACGGAAGACCGGTTGTCTTGCTGGGTTATGATGTCCTTTCCCAGTCAATAATTATACACAAACTTATTTAAAGTCTTGGGAATATTGTTGCAGATTACAATGATTAGGTTATTACCATCAAGAAATACAGTCAGTAATAGAACCAGAAATCTGAGCTAAGATGATTCCCGTTAAAACTATTATTTTCACCCAATAGGCAAGTACCTTTATGGAAATGTTTCCATAAAGGTTTAAAAAATTATGCCCTTTTAAAAAATTTTAATAATAAAATTATTTTAAAAATTAAACTGTAAAAATAATCTGTTATTAACTACAAAAAGATAACTAATTTTGGCATTTTATTGTCAAAATTATTCATATTTATTCTTTGGTAAAATGAATAGATTATTTTACAAAAATAAAATGATGTCATGTTTATAAACCTAATTTCCTCATTTAATATATCATTTTGTCTTTTCAAAGAATTTTGTACTTTCTTATGATCGTATTGTTGTTTGGGAGTTTAGATTATACCTAGTGTTTTGTTGTTATAAGCAGCACTGCATAGAAAGGTATGTCCCATCCTCAAGTTTATAAATTATGATTCACATATCTGCCTTTAGCTATTATTTCTGATAGTCTCAATTTGCAGATATACCTTGAGCTATTATTTCTCCAATAAAGGAAGAGAGAGAAATTTGGTTACAATAGATTAAACAAAGGTTATATTTATTAACCCTTATTTAATCATCACAGACAAGCAAACAAGTTTAATCAAAAGAATAGAGCTGAAGCTCAATATTTAAACTGTGCATAAAACTATGGCATTTGATCTAATCAAGTCAGCCAACAATGAGCACGCCACATGTAATGTTTGCTCTTCAAATCTGGAATTCATTCCCTCTGTCACTCTAATTCCTGGACCCAATTTGAAAATAGTTTGCATTATATCCTATCTCACAGCTTTTTATGTTTGCTAACCAAATATAATATGTTTGAAGACTTTGTCTTCCTGAATGTGACATTGTTAAAAATCAAAGGTGTCTAACACGTACAGCTGCTAATGGAATAAAGGATGCGTTTTTTAAAAGTGACATGCATAACTACACACACACACACACACACACACACACAGAGAGAGAGAGAGAGAGGAAAGGAGTTCTGATCCTCTCCACTACTTGAGGCTTTTAACATTTGAGGTTATATATATATATATATATGATTATTTATTTTCTTGACAAGGCTAAATGTTACATCTGAGTGAATGGATTGATAAAGTGTTGTTTTCTCATCTAAGTTCTCCCATCCAAAGCAAATATTTCCACACAGAGGAAATGTGTGTGTGCAAAAAGAATAGAGATGAAACTAGCATGGCTCTGTAGCAATTTCCTGGGTAAACAGAGCAAAAATGATAGTGTGGTCCTCAGGTTTTTTGTTTGGTTCCCCTACAACATTGTCAGTAATATTTGAGTAAGTCCCATAAAAGGAATATCAGCTGAGGAATCTCTTTCACCCAAGCTAGGGACGTCATCTTAATCAGCTAATCACAGGACAGAAAGTCCACCTCACTCATATAGAAAAAGGAAGACCAGGCGGTTTTCTTCATGCTGTTCTTGTGGTAGTGAATAAGTCTCACAAGTTCTGACGGTTTTATAAGTGGAAATCCCTTCTACTTGGCTCTCATTCTCTCTTTGCCTGCTGCCAGTGTAAGACGTGCCTTTCACCTTCCACTCTGATTGTATGGCCTTCCTAGCCACATGGAACTGTGAGTCTGTTATAACTCTTTTTCTTTATTTAAAAAAAAGAAAGAAAAGAAAGAAAAAAGGAAGACCAAGGCACTCATGTTCAATTGCTTCATAGAAGCTGGGGCACAGTTTTCTAGTTTACCTTTCTCCAAAGTAAGTTAAGTTGGGCTTATAGAAGGGCTTATTCCATTTTCGTTATTGTACATTTACTTTTCTGTCCATTCTTTCAACAAATAGACATTGAGCCCCTGATTTGACCTTGGTACTGCTCTAAGTCCCAGACTACAGCAGGAAACAAAACCCCAGAAAGTCCCTGTCCTCAGGGAGCTTTAATTCTAGTGGGAAAGACCAGATAGAAAAGAAAACTCAAACAGTTCATTAGAAGATAGTCAATACTACGTGAAAAATATAGCAAAGGAGATAGGCAATGTTGGGATTGGTGTTGCAATTTTAAATCAGGTTGCCAGGGAAAGTCTCGCTGAGACAATTAACAACTGAGCAAAGACTTGAAGGAGGAGAAGCAGCGAGCGAGCCATGAAGATAATTAGAAAAGGCATTTAATGCAGAGGGACCGGTTGTCAAGACCCTAAAGCGGGCGGGGCGGGTGTGTTGGAAGTGCAGTTAGCAAGGTTGGGGAGGAGATGGGGAGGGGTGCTGTGTGAAAGCTATCAGGGGCCTGCACATTAGAAGGCCTCTTTAAGGGTTTTACTCCGAGCAAAATGAGGACGCCAGCAATTTGGGAAGAAATCCATTTGGCTTCTGAGAAATGCTGTAATTAGGGTGAGAGAGGAAGGTGGTTCAGACAAGAGTGAGGCTATTCTGCAGATGGGGTGAGAAGAGACTGGACTCTGGGTGTATCTTCAAAACACAACCAGCAAAATTTTTTGACAAATTCAACAGTAAAGATGATGCTACATATTTTGTCTTAAGGAACTAGAAGGCTGGTTCTAGATAAAGAGGACAGAATTCAGAAAGTCCATTCAGGAACTGTTGGGTTTGACGTCTACTACTCATCAAGTGAGGCTTCAGGCAGATCAGAAAAGCAATTCTGGAGCTCAGCAGGGCTGAGCCAGGCAGACACATCAGGGAGGCGTCAGGCTTTTTACAGCTGGAGACTAGACCTGGGGCCTGATGAAACTGAGTCAGGAGAAGAGAGTCTGGAGGCAGGAAACTAAGGCAGGTTCATGCTGACTTCCTAGAACTAAATCAAAAGGAAAACCCCCACTCTCCACGCCTGGCAGATGAAAAATTGAAAGTAACTCTGATTGGTCCCCTCCCACAACCAATCAGACTGGTCTCTGGCCAGGTCTCCATTTGCATAGGAGTATAACTTTGTAACTTCACTTCGGCCTCTGATTGGTCACTTTCTGCAACCAATCAGATGTTTGCATAGGGTGTGACTTTGTAACTTCACTTCAGCCTCTGATTGGTCCCCTCCCACAACCAATCAGAGTGATCCTGGGCACTACTTCATTTACATAGGGGGTACACCAAGTAACCAATGGGAAACCTCCAAAGGGTATTTACACCCCACAGAAACTCAAGAGTAATTGGGCTCTTGAGCCACTTGCTCTGGGTGCACCCACCCTGTGGAGTGTGCTTTTGTTTTCAATAAATCTCTGCTTGTGTTGCTTCGTCCTTTCCTTCTTTAGTGTGTTTTGTCCAATTATTTGTTCAAAATGCCAAGAACCTGGACAGTCTCCACCAGTAACAAAATCATTCAAGGAGTGAGTGCAGATGAGAAAAACTCCAGGACTGAAAGCTGGACAGTCCAAAATTTGGAGGTAGAGAGGCACAGAGGATTGAGAAACCGAAATGATTTACGGCAGAGAAACATCAGGAGAGTACAAATCCAAGGCAAAGACGGGGAGGAGGAGTAATTGACTGCACCGCCTGCTGCTGGCCTGCCCGGTAGAGTGGGAGAGCCCAGGAGCACTGTGGAGTTCAACATACAGAGATCATTGCCAAACTTGGCCAAAGCAGGTTTCGTGATCTGTGAAAAGAAAAGCACACAGGAGGCCGGGCGTGGTGGCTCATGCTTGTAATACCAGCACTTTGGGAGGCCGAGGTGGGCGGATCACCTGAGGTCAGGAGTTGGAGACCAGCCTGGCCAACATGGGGAAACCTCATCTTTACTAAAAATACAAAAAATTAGCCGGGCGTGGTGGCACACCCTTGTAATTCCAGCTACTCGGAAGGCTGAGAGAGGAGAATCGCTTGAACCCAGGGGATGGAGGTTTCAGTGAGTCGAGATCGAGCCACTGCACTCCAGTCTGGGCAACAAGATGGAGACTCTGTTTAAAAAAAAAAAAAAAAGAAAGAAAAAAAGAAGGAAGGCACAGAGGAGAGCATTTAAAAGAGAATGAGTGCAAAACTACTGGAGAGGACACAGACGGGAAATTCTTCATTATTTAATTTTTATTTTAAAAATTCTAATTGTGATAAAAAGAAAACACACCATATAAAATGTACCATCTTAATGATTTTTAACTGTAGCCTTCAGTAGCATTAAATAGATTCCCATTGGTGTGAAAGAAATCTCCGGAACTTTTTCGTCTTGTAAAACTGAAACTCTGTAACCATTAAAGAACTCCCCATTTCCCCTCACCCCAGCCCCCAGCAACCACCTTTCTACTTTGTTTCTACGAAGAATAAGCAATTCTTTAAAATAGTTTTGCTGGGAAAATGGAGGCCCAGAAAATTTGCATTTCTAACCTATTCCTAAATGATGGTGACAGTGTTGATATGGGGCCCACATTTCGATAGCCACTGGTCTATGGCACAGGCTGCCAATCTTAGGTGAACAGTGGAATTGTTTAGAGGATTCTAAAACGTTCTGAAAGCTGAAAGCCACTCCCAGATGGTCTGCCATAATTGACTTGGGGTGTGGCAGGAGCGCTTGTGTTTATAAAAGTTCCTAGGTGTTTGTAATTTGCAGTCAGGTTGTGAAGCATTGATCTCTAGCAAGAGGAGAGAAAGTAGATACCTGGGGACCCAGCTTGGCAGCTGAGTAGCTTACAAAGAGTGAAGAGCTCTTAGAAATTCTTCTATGATTCCTTCAATTATCCAGGCAAAATTGGAAGCCAGATCAACTGAGGGCAACGCTGGAAGATGAGCTTTTGGAGGTTATGAAAAGGAAATATGAAAGAGAGTTTGAGGATAATGACAGTGTGAATAAACGGGAGGAATGTCCTTTTGCTAAGTCTGTGGTTACGAATCTCAAGTTAGATCATCCAGAGAGCTCGTGAGTTTTTTCTCATCCTATGTTTGGCTGTACGGGAGCAGGTATGGAGTAAGCGGAGGCAGATTTAACCGTGCTTGTCGTTTTCCAAGGCATCTAATCATGTCAGATAAAATGAGAGCAGGGTAGGAGGGTGATTGTGATGGTTAACCATGGAGACAGAGCCGAAGTGACAGAGCCCATACTTTTAGCTCCCAAAGACATGGACTGTGGGGAAAGGGTACCGGGGAGAGGGCTGGAAGGAGGAGATGGGGAGGTAACCAGTGAAAAGCTTGAACTTGCGATTGGGGGATGGGAATTATTGGTAACAACAAGGTCCACGGCATGACCACAGGCATGCGATGTCTTAGGAGGGGATCCAGAATTCCTTTAGAGACAGAAGGAAAGGAGCATGGACAGAAGAGGAGGACACACAGGGAGATGTCCTAGCATGCACTGTGACGTCCGGAGGGTACACGGGAAGTTTGAAGCATTGGAAGATCCGGAGTCATGAGGTTTTTGAGCATGGGAGGCAGTGAGTGACCTGGGAATCTGGTCATCCTTGGAGTATGACACAAATAAGAAGAAAAGGACATGATGGAAAGAGTGTCACTGATCTCAGAGCAGATGGTTATGAGGAAGCTGCCTGTGCGAGAGGTTAGCAAGACGCGGGGCTGTGCGTGTCCTTCTCCTCTCTGTTGATATGAGTGCAGAAACTTATTTTAATGACGAGGCTCTCTTGACCCTTTCCAAAGAAGGCATGAAGGTTTTGCAAAGAAGTCTAACTCAGAGGTCTTCCTATAAATTTCATTTACACATAAGCAGTGCAAAATGTTAAATGAGATACCATGCTAAAAAACACACATACCCTGCCTCAAGATACTTATATCTAGTAACATTAATAGATACATACACAAATCCTTTCACACAGGACAAGACGTATATAACATATTCCTTAAGAGAGATCAAAATAAAGTATCATGAGGTTTTGGAATGACAGAAGCATAGTCATTAGGGATAAATCAGAAAAATTTCACAAGACAGGTGCATTTGAGCTACACCTTAAAGAACAGTTTGGATTCTGACAGATACAAGACAAGATTGGGAGATGTTTCAACTGGTCTAATGAAAAGAGCAAAAATGGGCTGGGTGCCGTGGCTCACACCTGTAATTTCAGCACTTGGGAGGCTGAGGTGAGCAGATCATCTGAGGTCAGGAGTTCAAGACCAGCCTGGCCAACATGGTGAAACCCTGTCTCTACTAAAAATACAAAAATTAGCCGGATGTGATGGCTCATGCCTGTAGTCCCAGCTACTCGGGAGGCTGAGGCAGGAGAATCACTTGAACCCAGGAGGTGGAGGTTGCAGTGAGCTGAGATCATGCCACTGCATTCCAGCCTGGTCAAAAGAGCAAGACTCCATAATAAAAAGAAAGAAAGAAAGAGCAAAAATGTGGAGGCATAAACTCATGGGGTTTACCTGGGTCACCATCTTTCTTGGCCGAATGATGGAATTTCTGTGGGGGAATTGTGGTGTAACAGGTTTCTCCCTACATGAACCACAGGGGACCTCAAAGGTGTATCAGTGAGGTATGAGGTTGTCTGCAAGCAACAACAACAACACCAAAAAAAATCTTAACCAGGAGTGGCCACAAAAATGTTTACTGTATTTCTCTAAAGGAAAAACAAAAGAATTCCCAGGCGGGCAGTGTCTGGGGCTGGCTCGTCTCCTCGATAATGCTGCCTGGGACCTATGTTTATGTTCTCCATCCCATCTACCAGCCCTGGAGAAGTAGCTTTTCCTTCTTGTCACTGACACCTCATGTCCTCAAGATGGTGGCTACTCCCTAGGCACCTGCCTACCAGGTGGGAAGAAGAGAGATGAGCAGGAGAAAAGGAGGGACTTTTTAATAAAGAGAGGAAAAGACCGTCCCCAAGCTCCTCACCAGGCTCCTCTCATTGGCCAGCACTGCCTGGTATAGGCAGCCCTCAGAGCCCAGGTGGCTGCTAAATGGATGACTTAGCCTCCTGGTACCGGAAAAAAATAAAGGATGGACAGGGTGGGGCACTGAGGAAGCCAATAGAAAGTGACTGTTGCAAATCCCAAACTGCACAGTTCAGACCTTCAGTATCAGCCAACAAATGATGAGGTCGTGGAATGGTAGGATTACATAACTGTGTCTCTAAAAGGCATAGCTAAGACATCATTGTAGAGTAGATTGCAGAGGTGTGAAAAATTGCAGGCTGGGAGACCAGTTATGTGTTTTCTCAGAGGGGGCGGGAAGTGTGTAGCAAGTAAGAAATGATGGGATTTGGGATAAAAGGGTAGGAAAAAAGGTGGTAAAAGTATTTGTATTCAAGAGAGAAAACCATTCAGTCAATCAGACGTTTGCAAGTTGTACTTTACCTAGGCTGGAAAGGATAAAAAAATGAAAGTTCAAGCCGGGGGAGGACCAATACCTGCTTTTTCTATGGAATGAGATAAACATTGTGAAATCCATCTATAAAATATTACAAACTGAATATAGAAATAATAAAATGATTTTGAAATATTTGATAACTCTTGGATGCAGCAATGAGCATTTTGACCTAGATCTCCTTTCCCATAAAGGATGTTTTAAAGGAACATAGAAAGCTTACGGAGCTTAAGTTGTTGTCCAATGGTTAGGGAAGAGAAAATGGTAGAATCAGATGAGGGACCCAGGCATTCAGAGGTCCCTGGTCTGGGCTACAAGTTTATATCACTTTCTGTGTCACACACATGCACACATGTGCACCACACACAGAGAGACCACCAAAGGGACTCCCACAGAACCAAATAGAAGACAAAGAGCTGAGGAAGAAATTGGAGGCCGTGATTTACATAATAGCTGATAATCCCATTAATGGGACAGCTTAGATGAGAGCATTGGAATCCGTTGTGTCAATAACCACCACTGCCTACCTTATTTCTTGTGCATCTAAACTTCAACTACCCAGGACTTTTTTAAAAGTCATGCTGCATGTTCCTTGGATGTTTTGGCTGTCGTCCTTCAGTGCCAAGCCCCCGGGCTGCTTCCTCACACGCTCCAGGGCACCTCTTCTCCTGGCCTCGAAGGCAGGCTTTCTTAGTCCCTCCTCCCTGTGCTCCTGAGAGAGGGTGAGCAACAGGGTCTCCTAACTCACCTGCCCTCCTAGGAGCCCTGTCTCTTCCCTCATTTAAGCTGAGGGAGAACTGCAACAAAACGACCAACATCTTTCACCACCACAACTGCATTTGTTCCTAATTCCTCTTTGTTCTTTCTAATTAGTCACCACAAGCTTCCTTCTTTCTTGTCCCTGCATGTTCTGCATGAAGAGATGGACACAAAGAGAAATTCGATGACGTCCCCAGGCACCCATGATGCACAGGGACAGCTCACAGGAAGCCACCTTTGTGCACAAGACTGGTCTCTAAGCTGGCCCAGGGCTCACTGGGATCTCGCCTCTTGACATACTGCCCTTGCCGGCCGTTTCAGCTGGGAGGCAGGATGGCAGCACGTCTGATAATTGCATAGTAAATTCTATACGAACACTTGGAAGCTGTGTCTTCCTGAAAATTACATGGTAAATAATTACATTTGTAGGGAACAAATAATTCAACTCTTTGTTACCATGTCAAATGCAATTTTGAGATCTGATGAGGCAAATCTTGTTTAGGAGATGAAAACAGAAGATATAAACCAGATAATTGCCAAGTGATTAAACAGGAAGTGCCATGCGTGTATGATTAATGCACATGCAAAGATAGGCACTGGGGAGCGTTGGGCAGGGAAGGAGCTGGAGTCTCCCCCATGGCCGGGTGCTCTCTGAGCCAACCGCAGCAGCAGAACTCACCAAGCGGCATTGGATCTAATTCGCTCCGAGTGAGCACAGCAAGCTGCGCAGGACAAATTTGTCCATGTGCCTGGTTCGTTTAAGACCACCTCCTGGCTGAGTGTGGTGGCTCATGCCTGTAAACCCACCACTTTGGGAGGCCAAGGCGGGTGGATCACGAGGTCAGGAGTTCGAAACCAGCCTGGCTAACATGGTGAAACCCTGTCTGTACTGAAAATACAAAAATTAGCTGGACATGGTGATGGGCGTCTGTAATCCCAGTTACTCAGGAAGCTGAGGCAGAAGAATCACTTGAACCCAGGATGCGGAGGTTGCAGTGAGCCAAGATCCCACCACTGCACTCCAGCCTGGGCGGACAGAGCAAGACTCCATCTAAAAAAAAAAAAAAAAAAAGAAAGGAAGAAACCCTCTCCTTTTCCTAAAGAGTTCATAGTCTCACTATTTCCTTCTTCCTTTCTGTCCCTTACATTCCCTGTATATCCTCATTCCCTCTTCCATGTTTTCTGCTCCTACCATTCTTTCTCTTTTGCTCAAGGGGGCTTTTCCTGCCTAGAGCTCCTGCCTTGTCATCTGTTTGAAAGGTTCCTTGAGCCTTGTCATCTGTTTGAAAGGTTGCTTGCAATCGTCCTTTTATGAATATTCTGTCTGTAAGTCATCTTTTCTGTCTTTCTTATGTCAGCAAATCAGCCGTGGCCTCCTGCTCCGAAGAGGACCCCTGGGTCTCTGTTTTTACTGTTCCTGAACCTCTCAGTTCTTCCCATCTGCTCCCATGCCCCACCTCCAGCCTGCTCTGGTCTGGATGAAAACACACGCAGGTGCAAAGTGTGTGTCATTCCATGCTATAGCCGCCCCATCCCCAGGGTGCTGTATGTCCAGCAGTTCTCCCAAAATGAGTCATGCTGAGTCCTTACGAAAGCAAGCATCACATGGATAAATTCCTGGAAAGATACAACCCTCCTAGCTTAAATCAGGAAGAATTAGATACCCTGAACAGAACAATAACAAGCAGTGAGATTGAAATGGTAATAAAAAAATTACCAACAAAAAAAAAAGTCCAGGACCAGACAGATTCACAGCTGAATTCTACCAGACATTCAAAGAAGAACTGGTATCAATTCGATTGACACTATTCTACAAGACAGAGAAAGAGGAAATCTTCCCTAAATCATTCTATGAAGCCAGTGTCACCCTAATACCAAAACCAGGAAAGGACATAACCAGAAAAGAAAACTACAAACAATATCCCTGATGAACACAGATGCAAAGATCTTTAACAAAATACTAGCAACAAAATCCAACAGCATGTCAAAAAGATAGTACACCATGATCAAGTGAGTTTCATACCAGGGATGCAGGGATGGTTTAACATACACAAATTAATAAATGTGATACAGCACATAAACATAATTAAAAACAAAAACCACATGATTATCTCAATAGATGCAGAAAAAGCATTTGACAAAATCCAGCATCCTTTATGATTAAAACTCTCAGTAAAATCAGCATACAAAGGACATGCCTCAATGTAATAAAAGCCATCTATGACAAACCCGCAGCCAACATAATACTGAATGGAGAAAAGTTGAAACCATTCCCTCTGAGAACTGCAAAAAGACAAGGATGCTCACTCTCACCACTTCTCTTCAACATAGTACTGGAAGTTCTAGCCAGGGCAATCAGACAAGAGAAACAAGTAAAGGGCATCCAAATCAGTAAAGAGGAAGTCAAACAGTCGCTGTTTGCTGATGATATAATTGTTTGCCTAGAAAACCCTAAAGACTCCCCCAAAAACTCATAGAACTGGTAAAAGAATTCAGCAAAGTTTCCAGATACAAAATTAATGTATACAAATCAGTAGCTATCCTACACACCAACAGCAACCAAGCTGAGAATCAAATCAAGAACTCAACCCCTTACATAATAACTATAAAAATAAAATAAAATACTTAGGAATATACCCAATCAAGGAGGTGAAAGACCTCTACAAGGAAAACTACAAACCACTGCTGAAAGAAATCATAGTTGACACAAACAAATGGAGACACATTCCATGCTCATGGATGGGTTGAATCAATATTGTGAAAATCACCATGCTGCCAAAAGCAATCTACAAATTCAATGCAATTTCCATCAAAATACCACGATCATTCTTCACAGAACTAGAAAAAACAATCCTAAAATTCACATGTAACCAAAAAAGAGCCCACATAGCCAAAGCAAAACTAAGCAAAAAGAACAAAGCTGGAGGCATCATATTACCTGATTTCAAACTATACTATAAGGCCATAGTCATCAAAACAGCATGGTACTGGTATAAAAATAGGCACCTAGACCAATGGAGCAGAATAGAGAACCCAGAAATAAACTCCAATACTTATAGCCAACTGATCTTTGACAAAGCAAACAAAAACATAAAGTGGGGAAAGGACACCCTTTTCAACAAATGGTGCTGGGATAATTTGCTAGCCACATGTAGGAGAATGAAACTGGATCCTAATCTCTCACCTTATACAAAAATCAGCTCAAGATGGATCCAGGACTTAAAGTTAAGACCTGAAACTATACAAATTCTAGAAGATAATATGTGAAAAACCTTTCTAGACATTGGCTTAGGCAAGGATTTTATAACTAAGAACCCAAAAGCAAATGCAATAAAAACAAAGATAAATAGGTGGGACATAATTAAACCAAAGAGCTTTTGCACAGCAAAAAGAATAGTCAGCAGAGTAAACAGACAACTCACACAGTAGGAGAAAATCTTCACAATCTGTACATCTGACAAAGGCATAATATCCAGAATCTACAACAAACCCAAACAAATTCCCAAGGAAAAAAAAACAAAAAAATCCATCAAAAAGTGAGCTAAGGACATGAATAGGCAGTTCTCAAAAGAAGATATAAAAATGGCCAACAAACATGAAAAAATGCTCAACATCACTAATAATCAGGGAAATGCAAATCAAAACCTCAATGTGATACCACCTTACACCTGCAAGAATGGCCATTAATCAAAAACAAAAGATAGATATTGGTGTGGATGTGGTGAACAGGGATCAATTCTACACTGCTGGTGGGAGTATAAACTAGTATAACCACTATGGGAAACAGAGCAGAGATTCCTTAAAGAACAAAAAGTAGAACTACCATTTGATCCACCAATCCCACTACTGGGTATCTACCCAGAGGAAACTAAGGCATTAAACAAAAAAGATACCTGAATATGCATGTTTATAGCAGCACAATTTGCAATTGCAAAAATGTGGAACCAACCCAAATGCCCATCAATCAATGAGTGGGTAAAGAAACTGTAGTATTGTATGTGATGGAATACTACTCAGCCATAAAAAGGAATGAATTAATGGCATTTGCAGCAACCTGGATGAGATTGGAGACTATTATTCCAAGTGAAGTAACTCAGGAATGGAAAGCCAAACATCATATGTTTTCACTCATAAGTGGGAGCTGAGCTATGAGGATGCAAAGGCATACGAATGATACAATGGACATTGGAGACTCGGGGGAAGGGGTGGGAAGGGGGTGAGGGATTAAAGACTACAAATTGAGTGCAGTGTATACTGCTTGGGTGATGGGTGCACCAAAATCTCACAAATCACCGCTAAAGAACTTACTCATGTAACCAAACACCACCTGTTCCCCTATGGGAATAAAATAAAAAAAAAAAAGAAAGAAAGAAAGCATCACATTACACACAGACGCCCCATTTCTCCAACAGTTCATGAAAAGACGGGAAGCTGGATTCCAAGAGGAGGGAGTGAGATTAATGAAGCAACCAGAGAGATCCATATCAAATATATATATTTTTTTCTTGAGATGGAGTTTCACTCTGTCACCCAAGCTGGAGTGCAGTGGCACCATTTCGACTCACTGCAAACTCCTCCTCCAGGGTCCAAGTGATTCTCATGCCTCAGCCTCCTGAGTAGCTGGGATTACAGGCACGTGCCATCTTGCCTGGCTATTTTTGTATTTTTAGTAGAGACGGAGTTTTGCCACGTTGGCCAGGTTGATCTTGAACTCCTGACCCCAGGTGATCCGCCCTTCTCAGCCTCCCAAAGTGCTGGGATTACAGGCGTGAGCCACCATGCCTGGCCTGTTATCAAATAATTTCTCCAGCCCAGGGGAACCTAGGAAGCCTGTCAACTGGCCATAAAATAGGGCCCCTGTTCCTGGAAAAGAGGAGCTACCTGGCTTACAGGACTTGGAAAACATCTGTTGTCCATCTGCACATGAGAAATGGAAAGGGTGAGAGGAGGTGGAGGAGAGTCAGTTGTGGGCAGGAAGGAGATCCCGTGTGAGGAAGACGACCTAGAAGAGACAGATTTCGAGTCCCAGGGCAACTGTGCAAGTGCCTGCTGACCGGCTCCATTCCATATGCTGTTTACCTCACCCCTAGCAGAAAGCCTTCAGAGAAGGGGATGGTACGGCCAGGGAAACCAAGGCTTGAGAATCAAAGCTTCTCCCAAGCCTCCCAAACCGAGGCTTGGGAGAAGGTTTCTTTCTCCCTCTCTTTCAGAGGTTGCTTCTCCTCTCCTAAAACTTCAGATAGCAGGCATTCTTCCTTTCCTGGCTATGATCTCTCTTCTCTGATGGCTTTCAGCATCCTCTATCTACTGATTATTTTGATTGTGTACCTCTAGGCGGAAACCTCTCCTGAAATGCAGATTTATGTAGCATATTGATAATGCCTACAGGAAAGTGTGCAAGGAGGATCTTGAGCTCCACTGCCTCATGCCCAAACCTTTTCTCTAAATAATAACCATTGAGGAAATTGACGTGTTATGCACGTCATTGTCCACCACTCAAACTGGTTGTTCTGTTTCTCTTCTTCAATGCCGCTGCCCATCTGAGTTAAGCCTCCAAAACAAATCTTGAATCAGCTCTTTCCCTTCTCTGCTACCATAATCGCCATTCAAAATGAGAATGCCTAGTCTCTTGACATTTCCTTTTATTCATAATTTTTAAACATTTCACTGGACTTTCATAGAATTTTCACAGAGCAGGGAAAAAGCAGAGAAATAACATGAAAAAAATCAACTGATAATTTTTCTTCTTGACTGTACTCAAGTTTATTTTTGGTTTTGTTTTTTAAAGTGAGAGCAAGTTTACTGAAAAGTAAAGGAATGAAAGGGTGGCTACTCCTTAGGCAGAGCATGTTCTGATGAGGAAAGGAGTTGGGGTTCTGAAGTACTTTGAAATATGTAGAGTTGCAAGAGTAAATGCCCAACCTATTTTCTGTTATTAAAAAAGAATGGAGATGTTACATCATCTATTTTGGAGCTATAAGAAGAATATATGCGTATTGTTATAGTCCAAAAATAAACAGATGTAAATACATAGAGATATCTAGTTACAGATATATAGAGATTATATGTATATATAGGTTTTATATACATATATACACATGTATATACATATATAATCTATGTGTATATATACATAACCCATATATGCATATAATCTATATCTGTAACTATATAGGTATCTCTACATGTTTACATTATATGTATATATATAACCTATATATGCATATAATCCCTATATTTCTCAACATCTGCACATCTATATATGTCTCAATATGTGTATACATAACACATTTGTGATGATTAATTTTATGTGTCATCTTCTGGACTGGGCCACAGAGTACCCACATATTCCAGGTATTACTGTGAGGGTATTTTGGATGACACTCACGTTTGAATGCATAGACTGAGTAAGGCAGATTGCCTTTCCCTGGGGTGGGTGGGTCTCATCCAATCAGTTGAAGGTCAGAACAGACTGAAAGGCTGACCCTGCCCTGAGCGAGGGAGAGTCCTTTCCGCCTCACAGCCTTAGAGCTGGGACGTGGAGCTCTTCCTGCCTTTGGACTGAATCGTTGGTTCTTCTTGAGTCTTGATCCAACTAAAGATGTTGGGCTTAGCCTCCATCACCCTGGGCGCCAATTCCTCACAATAAATTGATATATAAAATGATCCTGTTTGTCCTGATTCTCTGGAGCATCTCGGCTAACAGCATACATGTAAAATTTAGACCGATTCCCTCAGATGCTCTTACTCAGCATTGCTTCTGCATAAAAAGCGGCTCCACTCCAGTACCTGCCTTAAAGTGGAGTTTAGAGGAAAGGGTCCCTTCATGTGCCAAGATCTGTGGCTCTGCAATGGACACCTCGGCCCCGTGCCGTCCGTGGTGAAGACCCTCGCGCGGGCTCCCATCCCCTGCCACACTTGGATGGTGCCCAGCTCTGCGTCCCGACAGAGGTGGGATCTGGAATCTCCACCCCAGAATGGCCAGGCTTCTGGCTCGGCCACCTCCTGCGGCGCCAGCCCTTTTCCGACAGCGTTTCGGCTCCCCCCGTTGCTATGCACTGCGGCTCTCTCCCCGTGGGACGTTTTCAGATGAGATGAATGGTGGGCTGTGACCTGGGTGGAGGAGACGGGCCTGGAGAGCCGCTAAGTGGTTTCTGAGCCAGCAGAGCGTGGCCCGGGCCGGCAGGTGCACTCCCAGAAGGTCGTTAGCAACCCTAACTCTTTCCCCGACAATAATATTGACTTCACATTAGATAAACATGAATCTTCTAAACAACAGGTGAACACGCAGGAGCCGGCCTCCCCGCGCGATGTGCGGGAGAAGGCGGTGGGACACAGTCCATAGAGTTTAATTTCAGCTGTAATTACCTTTCCTGGTGAAGTGAGCCCTGTAACAAATGGAGCCGCCGCCGCAACAAGGAGCGCTGGGAGGAGAATAAAAGAGGTCGCCCCCCTTTGCAGGACCAATTTCTGTTTTGAACAAAACCCATTATTAACAAATTAGGGCCATTAGAGGAATCTCTTTACGCCTTTTCTTTATTGAAAAGGAATTCAAAACAGGAGAGAGGCAGGCGGGTGTGTTGTGAGAACATTAAAGTGAATTCCAGAAATGCACTGAACCAGCATTGGAGTCAGGGGTTAGTGTGATGAGAAAAACGGGCAAGACCTCACACTGTCGGCCCCTGGCAATCACTGTCAGAGAGAGAGGTGAAGCAGACGCCTTCAGCTTTAGCCCGGTCTTCCAGGGAGCATCTTGCAATGTTTTCAGAGCCACCTTTTAAAACTAATTTTCTAAGATAAATCAGAATTAACCAATCATAGTTGGCTCCATGTTTCTGATGTGTGCGTATCTGAACCAAACAAATCAAGAGCAGAGGTTAAGGTGTGGATCTGATGATAGCTCCTTTTCAAGAAGGCTGCACTTCAGATAGCAAAGTTTCTACGGATATTTTAAATGAGACCATTGAGAGCATCTTGACTTACAATTTATCAGCCTCTCCAAATGTAAAATGAAGATTTCTTATAATAAATCATCTTAAAAAGTGACAATAGATCTCAAAACTGGCAATAATAACAAAAATCCTCACCAACGTGTGTCTGAAGTTTAGCCACCTGTTAAGATGCTTTCTTAAAGGAAGCTTCCCCATTAAGTGGTTAACCAGGAATCAAATATATTCCTCCTATCCTCTTACCCTGCTGCTCTGTAAGAAAACTGAGTAAATATAACGATATAGATAAGAAAACGTACAGTTGAAAGTCCTCTATGGTACCCAGCTTGCTTCAAAAATCACCTTTGCATAAGGTCATTGCCATGCAACCCACTAAGATTAATAGGGGTAACCTGGCCTGCAGAGGGTTCAGCACTCCCAAAAGACAAGGAAATGGATGGACTAGAGAGATTGCTTTTAGAAATACATTATTCTGTATTCCCTTTTGAAGTGTCTTCAAATACAGTCCTGATCCACTTCAAGCTGCCCTTTTCTATATTAATTTAATCATAATTAAATGAAAAATGTATTAATAATTATACATAATTTGTCTGTAAACATGTTCCTGAAAAAATTAAAACTTATTAGAATAGTATATGTGCATAGTTCATATGTGCATATATGTAAACACACATATAACATATACATGTATGATGTATGTGTCTAGGATACACACACAGGTATGTGTTAAAGCCTCCCAGATGAGTAGTGCATGAAACCTGTAATAAATGCAGAGAGTTGCAGGGGTGAGGGGGGGCCAGCCTAGACAAAATAGGAAGTGCAGAGTGTTGGCAATCACTGAAGCAGTGTACCAGGGCTGCATAGGGTCGGTATAGAATTCTTCTGATTTTTGTCTTACTTAGTCCATGATAAAAAGTTTATTAGTATTGTACAAGCTCCCTGGTTTGAGAAGGAGGTGTCAGGGATGCTGATGTGATGAAGGGGCATGATCATGGATGACTTCTGTCCACCAAAGCACCTGCCCATCTCAGACACTCCCATTGCCACCTGCCCACATCTTGCACGCTGGGGAAGTTCACACACTGTCTGCTTGGCGACACACCTGTGCTCCCTCTCCATCTCCCACCCTAACATCGTTGACTCAGGACATGAAACCTGGGCAGTTATTCTTGTCATCTATATTCACAGCAGTCTTTGGAAGCCACACTCTCGACACCATGAAAAACTCAAGTTGCCTGCAGTATTAAAGTCACCAAAAGATGAAAGTCACAAAAACTGAAGATCTAATTCATCAGTGGGTTGCTGACCTCAACCTGGAGACACCTAGGGTGCTTTCTGCCAAAATGGAGCAAGTCCTCCCCCGATTCCAAATACAGGTCTTGCCTCTCTCCACCCAAATCCCTCCTTTTCTGTCCCCATGTTGCTGAGGGGAAGCTTACAGTCACATTTAGAGAGGGAGATCGTGCACACACTCTGTAGCCCTGAATAGCCCAGGGCTGGCTCTAGAGCTTCATGTGGTGTCCACTCTTCCCCCTGTTTCTTCTCCCCTCCTCCCTTCCTGCCTCTTTTCCACCCTTCTGTTTCCTCTCCTTCCCTAACTATGTCACTCCTTGCTCTTCCTCTTTTCCTTTCTGCTAGATCAGGAGTTTCTGGATAATTTGTTAAAAGTGTTTGTGGTAACTACTGACTTTAAGCTAGGAAAAATTTGCACATTTGGAGACTAGCATCCAATTGCTTGCATCTTAGAAATAAATTCCTGCTTGGCCATCATTTCTCAAGGTTAATATATTTTAAAACATGACATCAAGACCTGCCTTGGCTCTATTAAACCCATGGTGTTGGAAATACCTTGACAAGCAGGAAAAAGCAAGAGCGAGCAATGCTAATGACACACCTGAACAGTCCTCCCATGCTCTCAGGTGTTCAGAACCCTTGGAGGCTCCAGCTCTCAGTGTTCTCTGGAGGGACTGTGACACGAGCAGTCGGGCACAGAGCAGGTGACAGGACGGCACTTTCTAGAACACTGCCACCCACATGCAGTCCAGACATTTCAGTAGCCACGACAATTATTTTAGGCATCTCTTATGGAAGACGTCGACAAGTGCAGGAGACACCTTTGGAGGAGAGAAGGTCAGAAGGAGAATGCAGAATAGGCGAAGGAAGCAGGGGGGAGAAGGGGCATGGTCTCTGCCCCAAAGGAGCTTATGAGACAGATGGAGGAATGATAGATCAGCACTGAAAATGCAAAGAAGCTAAAAGGATTTAAATAACTGCACAAGACAGTAACAGAGGCCAGTCGCAGTAACTCACGCCTGTAATCCCAGCACTGTGGGAGGCCAAGGTGGGCAGATCACCCGAGGTCGGGAGTTCAAGACCAGCCTGACCAACACAGAGAAACCCCGTCTCTACTAAAATTACAAAATTAGCCAAGCGTGGTGATGCATGCCTGTAATCCCAGCTACACAGGAGGCTGAGGTGGGAGAATCACTTGAACCTAGGAGGCAGAGGTTACAGTGAGTCAAGATCGTGCCATTGCACTCCAACCTGGGCAACAAGAGTGAAACTCTGCCTCAAAAAAAAAAAAAAAAAAAAAAAAAAAAGACGGTAATAGAACTGCTGTTTGATACTGTGTCTCCCAAGTACGAATTATGTTATCCAGATGAGAGTTTCTGTATAAATAGAGACGTGTTCTTGGAAGGACAGGGAAAGTTTAATAGGAGAAATATGATTTGAACTCTTCTGTAAAAAGGGAGCAGTAATTTCAGAGGATGGAATGATGAGAGCAAATTCAAGCAGATTAGAAATTGTCTAATGTGGAGGGCAGAAAATGCTTCAGTTTGGATGGAGCTATGGGGGGCATCATTTCTAGGATGAATCATGTGAGTTTATGTATAGGCACCATTGTGACTCATGTTCATATTTTAGAACAGCGATGCTGAAAAGATGGATGTGTTCCATTTATTTGACTTGCTTTTGTGGTTTACTTTTTACTGTATAGTATGTATGATGGATGACTTTTTAAAATCTATCTGCCATCCGGGAGCAATGGCTCACTTCTATAATCCCAGCACTTTGGGAGGCTGAAGTAGGTAGATCACTTGAGGTCAGGAGTTTGAGACCAACCTGGCCAACGTGGTGACACCTCGTTTCTACTAAAAAAAACAAAAATTAGCCGGGCGTGTGGTGCACGCTTGTAATCCCAGCTACTTGGGAGGCTGAGGCAGGAGGATTGCTTGAACCCAAGAGGTAGAGTTTGCAGTGAGCTGAGATTGCACCACTGCACTCCAGCCTGGGTGACAGAGTGAGATTCTGTCTCAAAAAAAAAATAAAATAAAATAAGATAAAATAAAAATAAATAAATAAATAATCGATCTGCCGTGTAATTCTAATTTCATACAGATATCAGTGTTGATAAACTAAGTTGAGCCCATGGTCAAATCTTCCCTGACAATACCAATGGCATTGAGGAAAGAACCAAGGCCATGACATTACCTGCAGCCACTTTAACCTCTAAACCCGTGTTTCCATTTAGAAAATAAAAAAGTGCAGCTCACTGCCAGCATTCATTTAATTTTACATAAACATGCTCTTTGAGGCTGAAGCAAATATGATGGAGTTTCAACATGAAAATAAAATATAAAAACTGTCCTTGAAGTTATTTCTAAACAGAACCAACGTTAGAATCAACTGAGTTATCTGAGTCGACTATTTCAGAATAATCAGGTTCTTCAAATGAATCTCTGGCCAACAACTGTTGGAGAATAATGTTAACATCGTGAGTCGAAATGCTTTCTAGAGTTTGACATTTTCAGCAATTGAGAATTACTACATTTTATAAATGGAAATACCACTACTAAAACTATAATGCTATAAATAGAATGAGGTCTTTATTTTCCAAGGTTGATATACTAGAGCAATGTGAAGATAATAAGAGCAAGATATTTTGTGGCAAAGTTATCTCTCAGGGTAAACGCTGCAGCTGTAAGCACCCTGGTGAGCATTCTTGGAGCAAATGAAAAAGGGGCTAGTGTCTTTTAGGAATCTCTTATGGCTCTGTCATCTATGAACTCATTTTTATTAGAGTACACTTTATTTAGTTATCTTAATTAAATTAGCACATTCATATTGGTAAAACTCAAATAGCATTAAAAGCTGTATGGTAAACTCAACCAGACACCCTCATCCAGTCATTCTCTCCTTCTTGGGCACAGAAAATATACAACTCACTGTTTTGTGGTTAAGTGGGGTTGTGCCACAATTTCTTATCAAGGAACTGACATGTCACGTCTTCTCAGAGATGAAAAAAAAAAAACTTGAATGTTTCTCTAGCATTTTCTTCCTCTGAAAAAGTTGGCATTGTGTACCTTGGAACCACCATGTTGAATTGGTGGAGTTTACAGTCTCAGAGTCACAACGCTGCAGGGAACTGCCCTGGAGAACTGCCATACTGTAGAAGAATTTCTGTGAGAATGAAACACTATCGTCCAAAACCTCTAAAATTTAGGGGTTTATCTATTAAAGCTACCTGCATACAAGAGACATGCAATCACTACAAACCTGAACATACAAACAGCAGCCCTCACCCCATTGCTGCAAATAACATCACAGAGAAAAAACCATTTTCACCTCAGCTTATTCTGGTATTTATCTCACTAATTTTAAATAAAATATGTATATTGTTAGATTTATTGATTTACTAATGTAATAATCATTGACTGATTCTTCTAAAGATGCATGAAATGTGGATCTTTTATACTCACTGTCTCCTTTTCCATTCATACTACCATCATATGACAACTTATGCTTACATCAATAGTTTACATTATTTTAATCATGTAAGTGTTGATAATTGCAGACAAGTAGTGGCCTATGATTATATTTGAATTTTTATGACATTTGTTTTTCCCAAAGTTAATAATTTTCTCCTTTTTTTTTTTCTTTTTTTTTGCTGAGTCTTCTATATACCAAGTCTTAATCATTCCCATCAGAGCAGCACATGCTTATCAATATTTTCCCAAATACTCAGGTATATCAGATAATTAATCAATTCCTTTTAGTTTCTTCCTTCTCTTCAACCAGGACTTTTACCCTCCTGGGCAGCCAGACTGCTCTCAGCATGGGGATAACTCTTACTGCTCTTTGAGTGAGAGCCACTGTTTTCAAGTTTTTCATGAGTTAATGTCTACTATGTCTGAAACAAATGCTCCACTAGCTTCCCCCATCAAAAAAAGTGAATGAAAAATAAATTGATGGCTGGGCGCGGTGGCTCATGCCTGTAATCGCAGCACTTTAGGAGGCCATGGCAGGTGAATCATGAGGTCAGGAGATCAAGACCATCCTGGCTAACATGGTGAAACCCCATCTCTACTGAAAATACAAAAAATTAGCCGGGCGTGGTGGCAGGTGCCTGTAGTCCCAGCTACTCGGGAGGCTGAGGCAGGAGAATGGTGTGAACCTGGGAGGTGGAGCTTGCAGTGAGCCAAGATCACACCACTGTACTCCAGCCTGGGTGACTGAGTGAGATTCAGTCTCAAAAAAAAAAAAAAATTGATTAGTCTTTGGAGTGTTAAAATATGGTATTCCATTTCTCATGCTTGAATGATAGCTAGGTAGTCGTAGAATTCATAGTTAAAAGTCATTCATATTCAGCATCCAGAATTAATTTCGAGCTGATGCCCAAGTCCAAGTCCATGCTGACTCCTGTTCCTTTTTGTGGTCTGTTCTCCAACATGACCTTCTCCCTAGAAGTTTTGAGGTTAGCTAGCCTATTTATCGTTAAGGAACTAAAATTGTATCATTATGCACCATCATCTGGTCTGCTTTTCTTCCAGTGTGTTGAGTACCCAACAGACTCTTTCAGGTTGTAAACTCAGCCTCTTGAAGCCCAGGTCTTGTATTAAACAATCATATCATTTCTATCATTTTATTTGTTTACTTTTCCTGGAATTACCACTAGTTAAAACTTGGACTTTTACATTGCCCCTCTAATTTTCGTACATTTTCCACTTTTTATCTTTTTGATATATGAGATATATGCTTGTCTTTATTGTCCAGCTTTTCTATTGATTTCCTTTTATTTTCTCTATCACATTTTAAATGCGCAAGAGATATTAATCATGCTCTGATTATTCTTTTATTTTATAGCACCTTGTTCATCTCATTTCTTTAAGAATAAATATTTTAGGATTCTCTTCTCCCTTTACACTCTGTTCCCTGTGGGCTTTTTTCTCTGTTTAATTTGTTCTTCTTCTGTCACCTTTGGAAACTGTGTGTGTTTGTGTGTTTGTGTGTGTGTGTGTGTGTCATCATCTTTGGCTATCTGCTCACTGGATATTCGGGGTGAGGTGTTAAACATTTATCAGGCATGCCGTGTATGTGGGCACAGCTTTTTACATTTCTGGGCTTCACAGGTAAGTTGATGAGTGTGGTGTGAGCAGGTTGGGGATATTCCAAAAGACAGTACTTGGATTCCTCCCTGGGTCATTCAGTTTCTTCTACAGAGAGGAATTCTGCTATCTCCCCCTTGAGGGACTTTTTGCTTGACAGCTGCATTCTGGAATTAGAGTAGGGGAAGGAAGCTTCAGGTCCCACGCATTACAGAAGTTTGCATTTTACACCTGTCCAGCCCCTACACATCCCAGTCACTGAGCACAGAAAATCTCCATTTCAGTTTCTCTAAAGCATCACCCTTCCATTTCTGTCTGCTCAGCCGCGTCTTGAATGACCAGGGCTCTAGCATCACTGTTCCATTTCTGTCTGCCCAGCCATGTCCTAAAAGACTCAGGGCTCTGTCTGTGAGCTGCTTCGACAGTTTCAACTTTCCCGCCATGTTGGAGCTTTGTGTTTTAGTTTTCTTCTGTTTATAAATACAGTCACCTTATTTCCGTCAGCCTACCTGAAATCTATTACTACAGTCTCTCTTTGTGCATTCTGTGTGTCCTTGTGAATTCAAGCTTTTTAAATTTTTTACTATTGTACTAGTGGGTATCCCAGAAAAGAGGAACAAAATATGGTCATATGTGGAAATGCTGAATTCAAAATGTAGTTACCCATTTTGTAAAATACTACTACCATTTTTTGCCTTAAATCCACATGTTTCACACTTAACAAAGTGTCATCTAGGTTTAGCAACCCCAGATTTAGTGAGATAGTCTTGTAAATTCAAACCATATTGTTTTTTATTAATCTGGAAATACAACAGGACATTATAAAGGATCTTAAATACCATGTAATTCAACCTACGTATTTTATGAGAGAGGAAAAAGAAGACTCAGAGAAATTAAATGACAGTTTTAATCAAACAACTGATTATTGGCAGATTCCAGACTTGAGTGTATTACCTCTACCCTGATAATTCAGTGTGTCTTCTCTTAGATCTTTAAGTATCATAAGCTTCAATCATAATTTTGAAAACCTCTCTTAAAAAATAAACTTAAGCTTATTACTTAAGTGGAGATGATTAGAAAAGTGGGGATATTTTATCAAATGAAAATGATGGGTTTTTTAAATCAATTCAACCCATTAATTTTATTTTAAAAATCAGTGTTTCAAAGCACAATTACTGACTAAATAAAACATTGTAGTTCCCTTAAAGTCATGAGACCTACAAGACAAAACATGTAGAATTTCAACATAGCTCTTCTTAAAATGGTTATTAAATATTGATTTGGGGTTCTAAAGGATCCCTGCTAATAGACCTTCCGAGCAAGCACCTGCTCATTCGTGTGTTTTTCTGGAACCCGCGATTCAGGCAGCATCAGCACACGACAGAAAAGAGATCATGAGAGCTCATTTCCACAACACAGACAGCAGGAAGATGGTCACACTCGTTCGTAATGGCATTAGACTTCAAGGAGCTCATTGCTTCAAAATGCAGATGAGGGTGCTCTGCAAGGATGGGACAATGGAAACGCGTCTTTGTTCACAAGAGAGCTGCGGGGCCTCCCCAAAGCAGCCCAGTGATGCCCAGACCACTTCAGAGACCCAGGTCCTGAGATTTCCCAGAAACCCCATCTGGGACACATACCCCTTGTTCTCCACTATCTTTTATAGTCCGTGACCCGCCAGCCAGTTCTCACGTTTTGCTGCTCCTATTAAACTTGCCTCCAAGCTGCTGTGTCCTGCCCCAGCCATCTTTATTCCTTCCCTCTTTCTCCCCGAGCCAAGAGCATTCCCTTGTCACAACTCCTTGCTCTCCAGCTGCTCCCACCCCTGCCCTTGGTCATGCCCAGTTGTCTCAGCTTCACCTTGGGGTGACAATCTATCTCCGCTGTGGACTCCTCCTACATCGCCTTCCCCTTAATGTCATTGTCCCCACAGAATTCAGTCACCAAGTCTCTTGTTTTTTACACTTGTCCAAAGCTTTCTCATTCACTCCTATTGCTACAACCACCACCTCTAAGCCGATGACACCAAAATAGATCTTTGGTGTCAGTTCATAGTAATTAGCCTTCTTGAGCACTTCCTGTTGCCAGACATGGCTAAAGCCTTTGTGCATATCTTCTCTTTCATCTATAATCTGTCCTGTGGATGAGGCCATGTGGTCATGCCCGTTTTGTAGAAGAAACTGAGAGTTCCAGTGGTTAATCACCTTGTGGACACACACAGCTGGTAAGAGGCAGAGCCAGAAATCAAGCCCACGCCCTATGCACCCTTCTGTTGTTGCTTCCCTCCACCTCTCCTGCACTTCCTCCCTGCTCAGAGATCTCTCCTTCCACCACAACTGTGTCTTTCTGTCTCCACCTGAATATGCTGCAGGTGCCCCTCCGTCTCCCCTCTCCTCCTACCTTGAAAATGCTGCAGCTGCCCCTCCATCTCCCCTCTCCTCCCATCTTGCTCGTCTCAGTGCCTCATATCTCACCCTTGCAGTCACCAAGCCGGAAAGCAGAGAGCCACCGCGATTTCTCTCTCTATGTTAATCCCTACCTGCTATTGACTATCAAGCACTCTGAATGCTGCTTCCCCATATCTTTCGAGTCCCCCCCTTCACCGCCACACTTCAGAGCCTCACTCATCGAATACATATCATCACAGTAGTCTGCTGGCCGCTGTCCCTAAGCTTTCCGTTTTGCTCTAATACATTTCTTCATGTGGATGCAGGGATGATTTATAAAGTGAAAATCCACTCATGTTCTTCTCTTGCTTAAAATCTCTCAGTGGCATCCTATGCAGAAAAAAATGCAAAATCCTCACACAGTACACGGGGCTTCTGCGACCCGACCCCTGCGTGGCTACTCAGATGCAGCCCTTGCTACTCTCCCGTTCTACTCATGACTCATTCAACCTGCGTTTATTAAAACGTAGCATTAGATACAGAGAAAAAGACAGAAACACATGCAGCCCTCACCAAGCTTATCTCACAGGAAAGGCAAAAGTCAAGCAGGTTGTTACACTACAGCCTGCGAAATTCAATAAGCAGGGAGGTGGGGGCATCTAGGAGAGGATTTGGCTTGGGTCACAACAATCTTCCTGGAGAAGTGGAAGCCGATCTTGGAAGGATGAGGAGGGGAGAGGCTGTGTTGGAGGAGGGGAGAGGCTGTGTAGGAGGAGGGGAGAGGCTGTGCGGGAGGAGGGGAGAGGCTGTGTGGGAGGAGGGCTTCCAGACAACAAGAACAGAATCTGCAATGGCCCAGAACCCTGGACAAGCCTGGGGTCCTTGGAGACCTGAAAGAGTTTCACCAGGCAGAGGCAGGGAATATTTCATGAAATCGCAAGGAGAAGCGGTCATTAGCGAGGTCAGCATGCGGGAGAATGAAAAAGGGCCTTGTGGGTCATGTTGAAGAGTTGGACTTGATCCTGGAAACAGCAGAAGCCTTGAACAGATTTTGGACTGGAGGACGATGTGTTGTTCTGACTTATGTTTTCAAGAATCTTGCTGACCCAAGCAGGCAGATGGAATGGAAGAGGCAAGGATGGATGGTGGAATCATCCAGAAAGCATCCCCAGGGTCTGGATCAGGACCATCCAGTGTGGATGGAAATAAGTGGTTGGAAATGAGAAACTGGCATAGAATGCTGCATCATCAGGACAAACAAATGAAGGCATTGTTGGGTATAGCGTCCCGAGGCAAAACCCAATCCAAGCTCCTAAGTCTCCCTGCAATTCTTGTGCAACCCCCACCTCTTCCAAACAAACACGGTGCATAAACCAGGAATAATGCCCACTCCCTCCTATAACCAGGAAGACACTATCATGGGATCTGTGTATGCCAATGTGAAAAATAAACCAAGATAAATAAAATGGAGAATGAGAAAACAACAAGAAAAAGTAGAGGATGAGTACTTACTCCCCACCCCACCCCCCAAAAAAAACAACTAAAAAGATCTGGAGAAATTCAAGTTCATACTGTCAATAAAAGTTATTAGTTTGGTGCCATTACTTTCAATGGCAAAAAACACAATTAGTTTTGCACCAAGCTAATAGAATCATGGTGAAGAGGAAACAAACATAGACGTAAGAGAAGAAATAGCAATAAGCGAATATTCATTGCTAAAATATAGAACCAAGAATAAACTGTGCAAATTATGGCCATATATAGAGATTATTAGAAGTCAGGTCTCACAGGGTCTGGTGACCATTAGGAAGAGGAGGAGGTCAGAAAGGAGGAACCCAGATGTGTGGACAGAGTCCTTCATTCGTGACTGAGTTGTGGCACCATCCTTGCAGAAACATTTTTATGTTGTTAACTTTTAGAAAATAAAATGGATTAAAAATATAGAGGAAGAATCTGAGGCTACATCTCCTTAAGCATAAAATGAGTAGATTAGAATACTTCTCAGAAAAATACCATTTATTAATTACAAACATATACTCCTAGTATACCTTAATTTTGAGAAAGAAAGAAGGGGATAAGATAGAAGAAAACAAAGGAGGAGACAGAGATAGAAAGCCTTTGTGACTCTGTCATCTAACTATGAAATTAATTTGGAGATCGTGTCATAAAAGAAGGTCGCCTTGCCCTGCAGAGTGATGGGAAAAGCAATATCACGTATTATTTTTTCTCCACGTACCAGTGAGAGCAGACTTACCCCAGGTAGGAAACGCAATTACCAGAGGTTGTTATGCGGTACAACGGTGGCTTTCTCCTGTCTGTCAAGAGTTGAAGAGGATTTATTAACCAAAGTGGTGAGCTGAAGTTAACTCAACTGTCAAAAATGACCAATTTTCAGGCTTGAACCTAGTTCAGAGCAATTTCCACTCTCTATTTCTACATATCAAATATATATGAAATAGAATGTTACAGAAAGTGTTCACCCTCTCATTACTTGTCATAGAAATCATGTAGCTTTGCATTTTTACTGAAAGAAGAAATCCCGGATGACTGTAAAGAGAGAGACCATGGAGTCTCCGGTGCTCAGTACGCCCTGGGCCCTGGCCCACCATGAACAAGAGACTCCACAGCATCTGCCTGTTTGGGGAGCAGAGACCCACACTCTCAGAGAGGCTTGGATGTGGGGTCCAGAATCCAGGACTCTGCCAGAGACCCATAGGTCTCTGGGAAGATGACCCAATCTCAGTGGGCCTCTGTTGATTCAGCTGTACAGCAAGAAAGAGAGAGAACAGCTAACCATGTTGAGATCTTGTTATTTGCCACAAAATAGTTTAACTGCTTTACAAAAGAGACAATAATTCGGGAAAAAAAGTAACCAAAAACTAAGAATTAATGTAAAAAGGTTGCCTGCAAAGAGAGGGAAGAAAGAAGTAAGAATGGGAAGGGAAACTAGATTTCTTTGCACCGGTCTTGTTTATAATTTTGAGTATGGAAGTGTGTAAAGATGTTACAGGATTTTACAAATCTGGTAAGAGAAAAATATACCTATGCAATATTTACAAAAGGAACACAGATTGAACCAAATTAATTGATTTATTTCAAGTAGGAAGCTTAACCAGGAAGAGAAGAATGACCTCAACAGACTTTATAATGTAGTATTTTGAAAGCACAGCCCTCATGTGATAAAAGCACAAAAAGAAATCCTACAGTGCATTCACTATCCCGATGGGCAACACCAGGAGTAGTACGGTCCTGAGACTGTTTTGAATGTTATTTTAAAGCTACTGGCATAAGCAGGCCAGGCGCGGTGTTCATGCCTGTAATCCCAGCAATTTTGGAGGCTGAGGAAGGTGGATCACCTGACATCAGGAGTTTGAGACCAGCCTGGCCAACATGGTGAAAATCCGTCTCTACTAAAAATACAAAAATTAGCTGGGTGTGGTGGTGCACGCCTGAAATCCCAGCTACTTGGGAGGCTGAGGTAGGAGAATTGCTTGAACCTGGGAGGCAGAATTTGTAGTGAACCAAGGTCACGCCACTGCACTCCAGCCTGGGCGACAGGGCAAGATTCTGTCTCAAAAAAAAAAAAAAAAAAAAAAATTAGCATAAGCAAATGAATAATTTTGTTAATGCCTTTTGGGAGAAAATTATCACTTTAAGAGAAAAAAAGTTACAAGACAAAGTCAAAGACATTGGGGAAAAGCTTGCTACTCCTTGGCTTGAGTTGGTGATATCCGCATAAACTCATGACTTATCCATGACTCATCTTTCTAAAAAATGCATACATCTTGCTCTGACAACCATAAACAACCACTCTAGAGCAATAGCTCTTTCTGTGCCTGGACGGTAGTTACGGAACACTATCTTCCGCTGTCAAGAATCCAGAGCTCCATGGAGAAGTGGATGTTCTCAGGGCTGAGAGAAGATAAGGCTAAGGCAGTTTGTGACACTTAAAGCAACAACCCTATCAAATACCGTGAAGGCCATGTCCAGTGGCAGAGAAGTCCACTGGAAGGCGTCTAGCTGGGAAGAGGCGGAGTCACATGTGCATCCAAAAGACAAGAGCCACAGCAGATGAGAACCCATCCCGACAGATTCAATACTGTGAGTTCATGTTCATGCCAAAAACACACACAGAAGCAAAAAATCAGAGGCCACTTTTGGAGCTTGCCAGAGCTCCACACATTACTCTAAAACCTGAAAATGCACCTCTCATATCTTGGATTACAGGGAGGGAACTCCACAAAAGGCTGCAGCCTCTGCTTTTTGAAACCCCTTGCTGTATTCCCACCAGTTGCTCCCTCAAGGACTGCAAGCTGCAGGATTTGCAGGAGCCATTCCTGGGAGACAGGGTCTCATGGCCAGGGTTGGCTCCAAGGACTCGGCACAGATCTTGCACCTTTCTTGGTATTGTTCTTACTGCACTTTCTACTGGGTCTTCTCCTGTCTCATCTTCCTTTATTTCACTCGCTTCCAATTTTTAAAAATCATGTGTAATGCACTTGGCTTGTTTGTTTTCATGTCTTTGGATTTAAATGTCCAACATCAGGGAGAACCTGAAAGCAAGAGGTTCCCATTTTCGTCCCACAACAGATTAAGTCCTATAAGAAAAAGGAGTTCTGCTATGATCAACACCAAATTGTTAAACACGTGGACGTCTATGAAAGAGATTAGATACACAAGTATGTGTCCAAGAGATGGATTCTGATGGGCAGGACACTTCCTCTCAGCCAACAAGCTGACCCATCATTTTATAAGAGAAGTAAACACAAAACTAACCACTGCATGCAGATAGATAACAGTGAATACGGTGTTGAAGACTCAAAGGAATAACAGAAGCATAAGAGCAACTTACTAAAAGAACTAAGAAAAAACTGTTTAACCTACTGAATGCATATAGGAAACCATACATACATATGTAATATGTATGCTTGCATGTCTGTATGTGTATATGCAGATGTATATGTATGACAAATCCCATAAGAATTCATAGAAAAAATTCTTTTTTTAATAAAAGGAGTAAAAACAAGCTAACTTAAATTTTCTCTGCACTACTGAATGCAAGAAGCAATGAAATAGCATATCAACAGAAAGAAAAGTTTGAGATCCAAGAATTGTATAATCCAATCAAGATATATTTCAATGAGAACAAGACAGAATACTGTTGCCAGATATGTATAATCGAGGGAATAGTTCATCTGCATATCCTTTGTGAAAATATGTGTTAGCCAACTGGATTAGTTTGTTCTTATGCTGCTAATAAAGAGGTACCCGAGACTTGGTAATTTATAGAAGAAAGAGGTTTAATGGACTCACAGTTCCACATGGCTGGGGAGGCCTCACAATCATGGTGGAAGACAAAGGAAGAGGAAAGGGATGTCTTCTATGTCGGGAGGCAAAAGAGCGTGTGCAGGGGAACTCCTATTTTTTAAAACCATCAGATCTCATGAGACTTATTCACTACCACAAGAAGAGTATAGGGAAACCGCCACCGTGATTCAATTATCTCCACCTGGCCCCACCCTTGATATATGGGGATGATTACAATTCAAGGTGAGAATTGGGTGGGGACACAGTGAGACCATAACACCAACCAAATACTGGCCAACACTTTAGAGTTGGACATTACAAGGCAGTGTTAGCACAGGTCATGCCATCAGGAACCCAGCGTACTGCGTGTTTTCAGGAGGCTTCGTCATCTGAGGTTCTGAAGGGCCTCCTGAGATGCGTGCTTCTCTGTTGCTGCCTCCTGTTGAATTCCAAGAACGTGTTGAGAAAGCAGCATTCATTTCCTGGGGGTACACACAGAAGCTCTTGCCAAATTTGAAACTCACCTAAAACAATGGCTGGTGCTGTTTCACTCCAGCGTTTCATAACCATGGCTCAGTTATCAATCATAACGTGGCATTTCACTGGGAAAATGAGTGACTAAAAGGCACTAGAGCTTGTTCACAGTATCTTCCTCCAGCAATGTGGTCACCCACAGCAAGGTAATGGCTGTTCTCATCCACAAATAAATCGAGTAATGGTTCTGTGTCTTCAAAATTTACACTCAACTAGTGAAATCATATTTTCGATGAAGGGGAATTGAATACATCTTGTAGTAGAAGAGATTTTCTAGCATCAAGCCTACTTTCTCACCTCTGCCATTCCAGGTCATCTCTTTCTCTATTAATTTTTACATTGGTCTTTATATTGCACAATATTAAGTACATGTGAAAGAGATACACTGAAGCACTAAGACAATTCTTTTTCTGAGAAATACAGTTCTAGATCATCTGAAATGTCTTCCACAGGTTTTCATGTGTTTTTCAAATTTCATGAAGCCAGCATAATGATAAAGAATCCCTAAAAGACATTATGTCTTGTACTTATCAGGTTGGTGCAAAAGTAATAGCAGTTTTTGCCATTAAAAGTAATAGCAAAAATCTCAGTAACTTTTGCACCAACCTAATAGTTATTGAAAACGTATTAAAATGCATTCATGTACATTCATCAAAAAGGCGGGAGGACTGTAAGCCAAGCAATTTACAGTGGCACCATGGTTCCATATGGGCAATGGGACAATCAGTGTCGATATGGAATTTTCATCTTTAGTTCTTTGTATTCTCCAAATCTTCCATAATAAAATTATACTCAAAATAGCATTTGGCAGTTACTACTCACAAGGCAATCCACAGGCCCTGCAGAATGCAGAGGAACCCAAGCTATGGTCTCTATTCTGAAAAGGATGCAGGATGCACAGGTAAATACCTACTCCCGGGGTAACAGGTAAGATGTAACAGGTAAGATGTGCTGCCTGGAGGAGCAAAATCGGGGTATTGCCAGGAGGCCTGGTATATGTGGTTATGCCTCACGTGACAGAAAACTTTGAAATGTTAAGAATGTATGCACACAGCTTTCCCCAGAGAGGGTTAGAACTTCAGCAGCAGGAAGGCAAGAATGTCAGTCAGGGGTTCAGCATGCATGGTACATGGGCCTGAACCTGGAAGGTTGCAAATGCCAAGTTATTACATTTGGGTTAGATGGGTTATTTAGAGGGAACCCAGAGGGCACACCCTGAAAGATCTGAGCCCAACTGCCAGCACTCTAATGGGTCTTTACGTAGAAGCATGGGAGAAGTGTGGCATACTCGTGTCCGCTACCAGCCAGGGAGCAATCACCCTGCTTGGAAGGAGGTTTAGAAAAAGGTTTAAACTTGGGGGATGGTTACTATTAAAAAAACTGGGAAAAGAGATGTCCATGTTTAAAACTGTTTGTGCTTCCCCATGAGAACTCCAGCAAGTATGGTTGTAACGGACTGGCAGAGCTTCAGGCCTGGAGTGCCGGTTGCTGGACTCAGGAGAACCACATCTCCTGCTCAGCGCAAATCATACAGCAAGTTCTGGGGTGTGTCCACAAGTGCCCCTGACTGCTCTGCAGGGGGAAGATGTGCAACGACCACCATCCCTCCAAAACCACACATTCAGGAATGCATATTCCACCTTCCTTACAAAGCTTCCATGCAAAACGAGAGCCTTCTTCTCAGGATAAAAACTAACGGGATTTTCTATCTTGAAAAAACTCCTTTACATTCGAATAAAATGAAACTTTCCTCTTTCTCTCAAAGAAAGCCTTCCATTTATGACATAAAATGCAGAAGGAGAACATTTTTAAATTTGAAAATCTTAAACCTGCTCTTTCACTTTCACAGATAAAAATCCATTATTTCCCGATAACTTAGTGGCCGGAGCGAGATAAAACAAGACGTGATTGGAACTGAAAGCCGTCCAGTTTTATTTCTCCCCGCTCCTCTGATTTACTGTGAATCCTGGCTGTGTGCAGATGATGGCTGAGAGCAAAGGTTCACATCAATTGGAGCTCCAGGAAGAGCTGTCTCTGTGGGGGAAAACGTCACCTTCTTAGAACGCGTGAGCATCACCCACAAAACAGACAAGCCAGAGGAGATCAATGCGACAGAAATAGTTGTCACATCATGATTAGCGAACTATCGCTCATAATAATCTCCTTCAATAGACTCCGCAAAGGAGAGCTTGATTATTTGAACATATAGTAGTGTTCATTGTGGCTGGGCTGCACTTGCAGCCTAATTTGTATTTTTACAGTTTGTGACATTGGAAAGCTTGAGGTAATTTTCAGTACCTTATTAGGCATTTGAAATTCAGTTTGTAGCGTTCACTTCAAACATCCGCCTTTTCATTTAGCAGCGATTTAGCTGAGTGGGCTTGGGAGGGGACAACATCTGGGAAGCCACAGAGTCTCCAGGAAATGTCAAGAGTAAGCAGCCATCAATTCCCACAGAGAACAGAACAGGAGTAATCCTCTGTGGTCAGTGCAGTGACAGCCTCAGTCTTCAACAGGGAGCCCCAGTGCAGGTCTGGTTTGTAACCTCTAATTTGGTTTTGCACCTTACAAAAGACCTGAGACTTTGGGGTTTCCTTTGGGGACTTACAAAAAATCAGGTTCAATTCATGTCTCAGAAGAAAAAAAAAATTAGGACTACTGGAATTGTTTGCCTGCTCCCAGCGGAGGGCGAATGAAGTGATAGGGGTACAACACACAACAGGTTGCAAAAATTAGAGCCCACCCTCATGCCCTACAAACTTCTGCAGAGTAGAAGAAATGGACAAGGTCGGATTTAAAAAAAAAGAAAACAAAAGAACCCTGGGGAAACTGGAGCCTGTGCCACGCTGCACCCGCCAAAGCACACACACCCCGCACCCGCTAGTGTATACACACCCCACATTTGCCAGTGTACACGCACCCCACATTCACTAATGCACATGCACCCCGCATCCACTAGTGCACACACACCCCGCATCCACTAGTGCACACACACCCTACATCCACTAGCACATTGGCTGTGGGCTCTCTGGTGCCCTGACCTGGCCTTCTATTCTTTGCTCCTCCTTGGAGAAGAAAAGATTGTTTTCATTTCTTTGAGTCCTCTTCACTAATCTTTAATCTGCCAAGTGAATCAAATCCCACTGAACTATTAAGTGGACTTTTCCATCTTGAATAATATTTGCATTTTAATGTCTGTCAACTACATAAATTATTATAGTCCACCCTAGTGATGCTAATGATAGAAATTTTAGGCACTTTGGTTGAAAAGACATTTCAGAATAAATGGAAATATAGGTGGCTTGCTTTTCAAGTTACGCAAATAGGTGTAAATTGGACCAGAAATGAAATCCATCTTCAAAAAGTGTTGGGATGTAGCAAACAGTATTTACTTTCTAATTTAACCAAAGAACTTTAGACATACATTCTTAGCACTGTTCCATCCAGTCTGAAAATCAAGAGCTAATGGTAGAAACATCAAAAAAACCCTGTGGGTTTTTGTTCTGTTTTGTTTTTTGCTTTCATTTTTGTTTTTTTCTTTTTAGCACGTGAATAGAACTACATTAAAATATAAATTTTACTGAGGCTATTATACCCTTCAAATAGTTTCAGCTGTGGTGTTTAATTATACAGGAGGAAATAAGCAATTCACCATCTTTAACATCACTTGTTCCTTGGAAAGTCTGGTCAGGGGTTTTTTTGCTACGTCAACTTAGCACATATTTCACAGAGCAGAAAGCACTGGGTAGGGATGTGGTTGAGTTGGTGGTTTGGCCATGTTAGCAGCCAGGGTGGGTAACTGCATGATCAATCCAATTAGCTAAGCTGAATTTAACTGAAAACAGGACTTGAAACAATCATATGCCTCTCTCCTCCCCCAATTAATAGAACCTATTTACACTGTTTAGTTGAAAGCTATCTGATCAAGCTATTTGATATGATAAATTCAATTTAATTAATGGAAACAAAATAGTTTTTCAGAAAAAGCACATTTTATTTAAAACATCATGTAACTTAACAATCCCCATGAATTTTTTTCCATGCCTTTTTGGATGGTTTTCCATATTTTTCCCTTCTTGGGCATAATAGTGAAACTTCCTTGTCATCATATGTCTGTCATTATCACCTTATTATGTTGTCTAATTCAAATTGGCTGAAAGTGGTCTCAAAATGTGACATACATTTTGGAAGAGAGATTGGGATGAGAGTTTATAAGCACTTTGGGGTAAACACTGAAAATACTTCATCCCATAAAGAGAATTGGCAATACTGACATAAAGAAAAACAATCACAACGGGGTATGGATCAGATTAAGAGAATAATTGGCAAATCTACACTTCATTTTGCAGTGTGACATGAGGATCTCATCTCTTTCACTATTGGAATGATCAATACCAGTTGCAGCAGCTGGATCAATTCTGGCACAATCCTCATCAACTGTTGCAGTAACTGAAATGACCAAATCAACTTAATGGTTCAATGTGGTCATTGCTTCTATGTAGTTTTCCTTTCTTCTTTAACATTTATATTTAACCTGTACATATTTCAGACTCACTGCATATATTTCAGAATTTCCAGAAATACATACCATGTCTTGTACTAGGAACTGGAGCTAAGCCTAATAGACCACCACCACCTTCTCCTGTCTCTATCTCCTACAACAACCCTTAATGCAACAAGCACAAATGTTCATTTGTATGAAGGTCTTGGCTTAAGGCTAAAACCATTCCTCCCAGAAGAGTCTTTTCCAACTTTGATTATTTTCTCACTATCCAAAGGGTATTCTGGGGACAATGGAAACTTAAAAGTGAGAGAAGATGTAAGAAGAACAAGGAGAGAAAGATGACAGAGAAGGAGGCACTAGAAATCCATCCCCTAATATAAACAATAATTGCAATGGCAGAATTCATCTGATGTAACTATTTGGGAACTCTAGAGGTTATTGTAGGCTTACAACCAACAGGAAAAAGCTTGGATGGTAAACTGTAGTTAATATTGGTCAATTTTAGCTCTTAGCATGTCCCTGAATCAGCCTGCATATTCCTTGCAAGATCCATAGTGGAAAATAAGGACTTGATCCCAAACATCAGGGATCCATGCTCTGATTGCTGCTTTTGATCACAGAGGTGCAGAGAAAGAGTCAGTGACGATTGTCACTGCAATTCCCTCCATTTCTTCAAGCCCTTTTTCCCTCTGGCTGATGTACCTTTCAGGGGATTTAAAGGGTTAGTACCCCTTTTCCCTCCCTCCATTTTTTTCTTCCTTTCCTTTTGTGAGCCAGACATTAAAGACTAGAACATTCAAAACAAATGTATCTATGAGGAAAATTAGAAATTAACCATACATGCCCAGGGAAAGGCTCAGAAAGAAACTGAAAAGACCTGAAGTTTATAACTCAGGCTTATTCTTGGCACAGAGACGGCCTAAACCAGTTAAAACAGCAATAAAACAACAATAGCAACAACAACAACAACAAAGAAACAGCAAACCTTGGTGAAGGAGGAAATTCGATGATTAGAATCAAGTATGTATTTTCCAACAAAAAAAAATACAAAGGAAAATATTGAGAAAATGATGTATGAATGAAATGGAAATATCAATAAAGAGACAGAAAACCTACAAATACAACAAGAATCTCTGGATGTGAAAACTATCATAACTGAAGTTTAAAATTCACCAAAGAGATTCAAGGACAGATTTTAGCAAGTAGAAGAAAGAATCAGTAAACTCGAAGATATGACAGTTTAAATTATTGAATCTGAGGAACAGAAATTAAAAGATTGGAGAAAAGTAAACAGAGCCTAAGGGACATTTGGGACACCACCAACACGAGCATATGGATTGCTGAAGTCTCAGAAAAAGAAGAATAAAAGGGGAGAGAGAATATTCAATAAAATAATGGCTAATGCTTTCCATATTTGATAAAAAACATGAATATAAACACAACAAATTTAAACATTTCACTATAAAAAATCAACTAAATACAAAATAAGACGGTAATGTAAAAATGAGGGAGAGGGACAAAAAGCTATACAACATGTAGAAAACAGTAAAATGACAAGTTAGTCCCTTCTTATCAGCACTACTTCAAATACAAATGGATTAAATTCTCCGATCAAAGACTGAGATTGGCAGAATTTAAAAACACGTGATCTAACTGTATGCTATCTACAAAAGACTCGCTTCAGATCCAAAGGAACAAATAAATTAAAAGTAATAGGATTTTTTTAATGTTTTCTGAAAATAGTAACCAAAAGAGAGCAGAGATGGCTATATGAATGTCAGACAAAATCAACTTGTAAATTAAAATTTTATATAAAACAAAGGACAGTATATATTAATAAAAGGTGCAATACAACAAGAAGATATAACATTTATAAGCATTCACATACCTAATGACAGACTATCAAAATATGTAAAGCAAAAACTGGCAGAATTGAAGACAGTTCTAAAATCATAATTGGAGACTTCAGTATCTCACTCCCAATAATAGATGGAAAACCCATACATAAGATAAGTAAGAAACCAGAGAACTTATATGACACAATAAATCAATTAGACATAATAGTTATATACAGAACATGTTACCCCAAAACAGCATGTACATTCTTCCCAAGTATATATAAAACATTTTCCAGAATAGATTATGCATGAGGCCACAATTAGGTTTCAATTAATTTTTAAAAATAGCTATTATTCAAAGTGTCTTCTCTGACTACAACAGGATAAATTTAGAAATAAATAACAGAAGTAAAATAGAAATATTCACAAATTTTACAATTAAACAACATGCTCTTACACACAAATGGATCAAAGAAAAAATAGAAATTATTTAAAAACTAATGAAAACAAAAACACAACATGCCAAAACTTAAGAAAACAGGGCTAAGGGGGAAATTTATAACTATAAATACAAATTAAAAAATGAAAAGGATATCAAATTATGACTTAACTTTACAACTAGAAAAATAGGAACAAACTAAACCCAAAGCTAGTGGAACAAAGAAAATAATAAAGATTAAAGGGGAGATAAATGATGTAAGCATAGAAAAACAATAAAAAAATTGATAAAACCAAAAGTTGATTTGTTAAATGATTAACAAAATTGACAAAGCTTTAGCTAGATGGAGTAAGAACAAAAGAGAGAAGACTCAAATTAATAGTCAGAAATGAAAATGGACATTACTATTGATACTACAGAAATAAAATAGAAATATAAAATAGTACCTAAACAATTGTATACAAAGAAATTGGATCACCTAGAGAAAAAAGACAAATTCCTGGAAACACAAAACCCACTAAGACTAAATTACAAATAAATATAAAATCTGAAAAGACATAAAACTATTAAGAAAATTAAATCAGTAGTCAAAAATCTTCTGATGAAAAAATACCTTAGACCCGATGGCTTCATTGGTAAATTCATGAAACACTTCAAGAACTAATACCAATCCTTTTGAAATATTTTTAAAAATTGAAAAGGAGAGAATACTTTCTCACTCCTTCTAGAAAACCAGTTTTACTCTTATACCAAAGCCAGGCAAAGACACAAAAAGGAAAGAAAACTACAGAAAGTAAACATTGATGCCAAAATCCTCAACAAAATACTAACTGGATCCAGTAATATATTCAAAGGATTTTACATCATGATCAAGTAGAATTTAATCCTGGAATGCAAGGATAGTTCATCATATAAAAATCAGTCAATGTAATACAGCACATAGAATGAAGAAAAAACCATATGATCATCTCGATTGATGCAGGAAAATTATTGGCAACATTTAACACCCATTTATACTAACAACACTCAACAAACTAGGGGTAGAAAGAAATTACCTCAGTATAATAAAAGCCATCTATGAAAACCCCATAGCAAACATCATAATTAATGATGAAAAATTAAAAAAAAAAACTTTACTTCTATGATCAGGAATAAGACAAGGATGCCTACTTTCATCACTTCTATTCAATGTAGAACTGGAAGCTCTAGCCAGAGCAATTAGGCAGGAAAAAGAAATGACAGGCATACGAATTGGAAAGAAAAAAGTAAAATAATTTCTATTTGCAAATGATATGAAGTTATATATAGAAAACCCTAAAGAGTCCACCAAAGAAATAAATAGTTAGAAATAATAAATGAATTTATCGAAGTAGAAGAATACAAAGTCAAGAAACAAAAATCAGTTTAATTTCTACCCACTGACAATGAACAATCTAAGAAGGAAATTACAAAAACAATATTTACAATAGTATCAAAAATACTTAGAAATTAACTAGGAGATGAAAGACTTGTAAAATTTATTTCAGCAATGCTCTATAAAAACTAGAGAGCATTAAAAACTATAGAGCATTGCTGAAATAAAATTTAAAAGACATAAATAAACAGAAATTCATTCCATGTTCATGGGTTGGAAGATTTAATATTGTTAAGTAGTCAATACTACCCAAAGCAATCTACAGATTTAATGCAATTCCTATCAAAATCTCAATAAAATGTTTTACAGAAAAAAATCCTCAAATTCATATTGAATCACAAGGAGCCCTAAATAGACAACACAATTTTGAAAAGGAATTCAGCTGGAGGACTTACTTCCTGATTTCAAAACTTACCGCAAAGCAACAATAATGAAAACATTGCGGTATTGGCATAAACACAGACATATGAACTAATAGAATAAAGAGCTCAGAAATAAATCTTCACACGTGTGGTTAAATTATTTTTGACAGTGTGCCAAGACTATTCAAAAAAGGAAAGAAAGGAAAGCCTTTTCAACAAGTGATGCTGGGAAAACTGGATATCCACATGCAAATGAATGAAGTTGGATCCTTCCCTAACACCACATGCAAAAATTAAATCAAAAATGGACCAACGACCTAGAGGTAAGACCTAAAACTATAAAACTCTTAGAAGAAAACGTAGGGCAAAACCTTCATGACATTGGATTTGGCAATAATTTTATGAATATGACAACAAAAGCACAGGCAACAAAAGCAAAAATAGATGAATGTAACTTGAAAACTTAAAACTTTTATGCATCAAAAAAACAGTATCAACAGAGTAAAAAGACAATCCACAGAAGAAAATATTTCAGATCATACATCTGAAACCCTTGTGCACTGTTGGCATGAATGTAAAATGGTGTAGCTGTTGTGGAAAACAGTATTGAGATGCATCAAAAATTTAAAAAATTATGTTATGATTCAGCAATTCAACTTCTGAATGTATACGCAAAATAACTGAAAGCAGGGATTGAAAAAAAGCATCTGTACAACCATATTCATAACAACATTATTCACAATGAGCAAAGTGTTGCAGCAACCCAAGTGTCCATCAACAGATGAATGAGTGCATAGGTGTGGTGTACACATGCAATGGGGTTTTATCAAGCCTTAAGAAGGATGGAAATTCTGACGTACACTACAACATAGATGAACCTGAGACCATTATGCTAAGTGAAATAAGCCATTCACAACAAAACAAATACTATGTGCTTCCAACTGAGGTTTCTAGAGTAGTTAAAATCATAGACACAGAATGGAATGGTTGCTTCCAGGAGCTCAGGGGAGCTGGGGGAAGGAGAATGATTGTTTAATGGATACAGATTTTCAGTTTTGCAAGATGAAAAAGTTCTGTAGATCTGTTTCACAACAATGTGAATATATAATTAACAGTACTGTAAACTTAAAAATGGTTAAGATAGAAAATTTTATGTGATGTGTATTTCACCATAGTAATATAAAATAGAAAAAAAAATAATGAGGACACTCTTTCACTTTGAAGGGAGAGAAAGTAGGCAGATAAATAATTAGATCTGTCCAAATTTATATACGATATTTCAAAAGTGATCATGCCTCATAGCATTTAAGCACTTGCTAATGCAAGAAAGAATAAAACCTCAGGGTGCATTTCTCCCTAAGGAGACAGTCAGATAACGGAAGAGGAGAAAGATTCCTAGAGCCACTCCCCACCTCTGCTCTTCTGCCCTGCAGCAGCAGGAGCTAAAGCTGTGAAGAGCAGGGCTGGCAACTGGTCAAAACTGATCGGCCAGCAGGTGTTTCTATGGTGATGGGAATAAGCTGGGGATTTAAGGATTATGGGAATAGCATGTGGACAGCCAGAGCAAAGAGGAGGGTGGAAGAAAATGTGCCACACATTAGATTACCTGTAGCTGGGAAATATTGATTTCTATATCGTATTCATCTTCACATTTTCTGAGAAGGGACTTAAACTAAGCCAAACTGAGCTGTTTCTGTGAACCTTTTAATTTGCTATTCTAATGAAGAGGGGGAGTGATGGCTCTTAAGGTTAAACAGAGTGATTTGCAAATCACAAAGGCCAGCTCTCCTGATTCCTTTTGAAAGCTTCCTGTTCAGCACCATTTCCTGGCAAACTTTACTGCCAAGTTTAGGCAAACAGTTATTCCTATTTCATTCTTTTTATTTTATTTTGACATCTAGCACTAAAAACATAGCTTTTCTTAGTAAGATTTGCCTTGTTTCTTTTCAACATCACCTTTTTGGTTTATGTGATGGACAGGACAGCGAACTCAAGCTACACATTGATTAAACTTTTCATTCAAACAACAAGCATTCAGGATAAAGAGTCTGAAGTTGTAAGTGTCCTTGTAACAATTATATTGAAGCTCAAGTCACCATTGAACAAGATATTTTGAGAGCCACCTAGACCAGGTATTCCTAGAAAAATAATTTTAAAATATCTCCAGGAAATGCCATTCTCTAGAGGAAGAAAAGCGTGCTAATAGAATTTAATATATTTTGAGAACATCCAGGCAGCCATGAAAATTTCAAGACCAATAGATAGATACTTGTAAGTCATTTCAGGGTTCATGTCTCTTCCATTATGTGGAGTGCTCAAAGCATATTTTTATTTTCATTTCCACTGTATCCTAGTTTTTTTTTTTTTTTTTACAAATATGGCCTATCACTCTACAATTTTTAAAATTCTTTAATTTGTTTAAATAGCGGAAGAAATAGCGTAGAATATCAAAAGGCTGGTAGACATTTTCTCGTCGGCAGTTTCTCTGGTGCATCTCCTTTCCTCGCATTTGGGGATTCTTTCTACTCCTCCACCACCAGGCTGGGCTTCTTTCTCCACTGAGTCACTGGGAGCTTAATTCAACAAATGTTGGTTGAGTGTCCACTGTGTAGAGACGAATAAGCCACAGTTCTGGCTTCAAGCTACCCAAGTCCGGGGAGCAGAGGCTCACCTCTGCAGGATACTCAAGGTCTACCTATGCATTCTTTGGAGATGGCTGTCAGCAGTGGCAATTACACACTTGCTTAGGAAACACTTGGTTAAACGTCCATTTTTCTCCTACCCTTTGTCTGCATTTTGTACCACTGTGTCCTCATTACCTACTGCAGTGACTGACCGGAAATGAAAACGTGGTAATTATGTGTTGAAAGGGGAGCGCTATATACTGAACGCTCATGTCCCCCCAACATTCATATGGTGAAATCCTAACTCCCAAGGCAATAATATCAGGAGGTGGAGACTTTTGGAGGTGATTGGGACATGAGATGGAGCTCTCAAGAATGAGATTAGTAAAAGGGACCCCAGGGAGCTGCCTTGCTCCTTTAACCATGGGAGGATGGTGTGAGATGGTTCCTTCAATGAACCAGAAAGCAGCCCTCACCAGACGCCAAATCTGCCACTCCCTTGACCTTGGACTTGCAGCCTCCAGAACTGTGAGAAATCAATATCTGTTGTTTGTAAATCACCCAGTCTATGGCACTTTGTCGTAACAGCCCGAATGAACTAAGACAGCTCAGTAAACGAATGAAAGAATGAATCAAACAGAAGACCAGGTCACAGGAACCAAAAGGGAGTCCTCCCAGAAGCAGAATGACGTCAGGGAAGAAGGAACAATGGCAGGAGGGGCAAAGTGGGACATCAAGGCTGCTCTACGACACCCATGTCCCAGGCTGTGAGGCTACCTGTGGAGCTGGGCATCCTGCCAGGCCAGGTCAAAGCCACAGGTGCCTGCCAGGGGCTATGCAGCAGACCCCTTCTTGCTCAGGGAGCCTTCTTAGGACAAGCCTTCTGGACTAGCACTGGACAAGAGCTTCACAAATGTCCTCACCACAATTGCATCCGTGGGCCAGAAATTCCACTTCTAGAATCTTTCTTAAAGAAAAAGCAAAAGATTTAAAAAAATAAATAGATAAATAAAACAGAATTTATGGTTGCAGACAAATAAAAACACTTTTACACTGTTGGTGATGGGAATGTAAATTAATTCAACCATTGTGGAAGATGGTGTGGAGAGTCATCAAAGATCTAGAATAAGAAATACTATTTGACCTAGCAATCTCATTACTGGGTATATACCCAAAGGAATATAAATCATTCTATTATAAAGATACATGAACATGTACATTCACTGCAGCACTATTCACAATAGCAAAGACATGGAATCCACCCAAATGCCCATCAATGATAGACTGGATAAAGGGAATGTGGTACATATACACCATGGAATACTATGCAGCCATAAAAAAGAATGAGATCATGTCCTTTGCAGGGACATGGATGGAGCTGGAAGCCATCATCCTCAGCAGACTAATGCAAGAACAGAAAACCAAACACCACATGTTCTCACTTATAAGTTGGAGCTTAACAATGAGAACACATGGATACAGGTAGGGGAATAAGACACCCTGGGGCCTGTTAGGGGTGGGGTTGGGGGTGGGAGAGCATTAGAAATATAGTTAATGCATGGTGGACTTAATACCTAGGTGACGGGTTGATATGTGCAGCAAACCACCATGACACATATTTACCTATGTAACAAATCTACCCATCCTGCACATGTACCCCAGAACTTAAAATAGAAAAAGAATCTTTAAAAAAGAACAAAATGTATATGATTTTCTGATAAAAATTGAAAACAACCCTGTAAAATCATTTATAAAATTTGTTTAACTTAGGAAAATTAGTTAAATAAATGAGGGCTCATTCATCCACTGAAATATATATACAGCCTGTCAAAAGGAAATTGTTTAATAATAATTAATGTTACAAGAAATACTCATTAAATGTTTTAAGGTCAAAATAGCAGTTTGAAAATTAGAAATAATAACTATTAAGGTTTTTTTTATTTTCTCCAAATATACTTCTATATTTTAAAGACAGTTTTGTTCCTACTTTATCTGTGAGTGATTGGTTAGGACTTACTACTGTTATTTTTGTAACTGTATTTACAATGAGAAAAACTATTTGAAAATGTAAAACAGCTATTCCATTCTTAGTGCCTGTGCACATCGGAAGTAGAGTGGCCTTGAATCTTTACAAGAGATGCTCAGTCATCTCAAATTTCAAAAAGGGCAAAGGGAGATGCAGAAGAAATGCCCTTCTTGTGTCTGCCTCATGCGTCTTTCCGTTCCAGGACTGTCCTATTGATTAGCTTCCTGCTGTCTACCTAAACTGTCCCTGGGAGATCATCTGCAGCCAAGACCTCAATGCTATCTGTGAAATGATGATGTGTAAGTCCATATACCTGGCCTCGGGCACTTTCATGAGTGTCAGGCTACTTCAAACTAGAAGATCAAACTTCTCAGATTGGCCTAAAAAACCCTCTATGAACTGGTCACTGCCTCTATCTTCTCTATCAACACCAATTCCCCCAGCCCTCTCCAACACACACACACGTGTACACACATGCACACACATATGCACACATGCACACAAATGCACACGCACATATATATGCACCTTGAAGGCTCCAGCAGTGTAAATCTACTTTTCATTCTCTGATGAACACTATTTTGCATTTCCTTCCAGGATATACACCCCAGGAAACATACACAACAAATATGTTCACAAATAGCATTATTCAACATAGATTTCCCCCAAATGAGAAAATGATAAATAACCATTGATAGCAGACTGGACAAATTAACTGTAGCATAATAGTAGAATAGAATAGTAGAGCAGTAAAGAATGAACTGCATGATGTAATGAACACAGATGCATCTCAACAGGAAAATATTGCAGAAAAGAGACAATCACAGAGGAATACGTACAGAATATTCTATTTCCACACAGTTCCAAACCATGCAAAACTAAGTTATCTATGGCAGAGGGACATGAATGGATGGTGAAAATATAAAGAAATAAAAGGAATAATTAATATTAATGCCAGGAGAGTTGTCACCTAAAGAGGAGAGAGGGTGTGATAAAGTTTGGCTGTGTCCCCACCCAAATCTCATCTTGAATTGTAGTTCCCATAATCCCCACAGGTCGTGGGAGGGAACAGGTGGAGATAATTGAATCATGGGGGCAGTTTTCCTCATCCTGTTTTCATGATAGTGAGTTAGTTCTCCTAAGATCTGATGGCTTTATAAGGGGCTTTACCCTCTATATGCACCTAACAATAGAACCCCAATTTAATTATCTGAGAAGAGAAATAGGCAATTTAATAATCATAGTTGGAGGCTTCCATACTATACTTTTAATAATGGATAGAACAACTAGACAGAATAGAAAAAAAGATGACTTGAACAACACTATAAACCAACTTGACCTAAGAGAAATTTATAAAACACTTCACTGAAGAACAGAAGAATAAACATTCTTTTCAAGTGCACATGGAACATTCTACAGAATAGACCATAGAGTAGGTCATAAACAAGTCTTAATATATTTCAAATGAGCTAAGTTATATCATGTATATTCTCTGATTACAGTGGAATAAAATTAGAAATCATAACAAAAGAAAACTTGGGACATACACAAATATGTGGAATTAAATAACTTATTTCAAAAAAATGAATGAATCAAGAAGAAATGAAAAGGGAAAATAAAATGCTTTGAGAAGATGATAATAAAATAACAGCATACAAAACTTCTGGAATGTAGTGAAAGCAGTGCTTAGAAGGAAATTTATAGTATTAAAGATCTGTATAAGAACAGAAGAAAGAACACAAATAAAAAACCTAAGTGTTCTTAAACTAAAAAAGAACAGTAAAATGAACTCAAAGCTAACATAAGAAATACTAATGATTAGATTCAAAAATTAATAAAATAAAAAACAAAATTAGAAAAAAATTAAAAACTGGTTCTTCATAAAGGTCAACAAAATTGATAAAACTTTAGCTAGACTAACAACAACAACAACAACAAAAATCCTGCCAAAATTGGGTATTAAAAAAGCCCTACTAATATCAGCGTACAGAAACAAAAATAATCTAATGCAATGATTCAGACAATGGTATGACAATCGATTAGATAATCTAGTGAAATAGAAAAGAAACACACTGTCAAAGCTGACTAAAGCAGAAATAGAAAAGCTGAATAGACCTATTACCTGTAAATACAATGAATATGTAATCACAATTTTTAAAAATCTTACAAAAAAAAATCAGTACCATATGGCTTCACTGGTGAATTTGATCAAATAGTTTATTTAAAAATAACATAAATCCTTTGCAAATTCTTCCAAAACAAAAAGCACTGGGAATACTTTCCAATTTATTTTATAAGGTCATTAATACCCTGACACAACAAAACAGTCAAAGTTATCCTAATAAATATATGAAAATAACAATAACCTACAGATCTTACATACCAGATAAATATAGAAACAAAAATTCTCAACAAAATACCAACAAACTGAATCTGGCAGCATATAAAAGTGTATAAAACTTAGTACACCATGACCCAGTCTAATTGATCCAAGAAACACAAGGTTGTTTCAACATATAAAAATAAATGCAGAAGTGAAATCCAGAAGGTGGTAGAATAAGAAATCTCATCCTTTGTCTCCCCCAAAGAAAACAATTGGAAATCATTACTAATGAAAATAGTTATTGGAGAGTTAGGCAGTACAGTTAAGCAGTTGCAGCAACACAGTGGAAAACAAAAGGAGAATAACAGCACAGAAAGGATTAAAAAAAGAACAGCTTGTTTTTTTATGCATCATCCCATCGACCAAGCAAACACAGCTCGGCACTGAGCAAACTCTCCAGCTCATGAGTTCACCTCCCAGGGAAAAAGAGATTAGAGTGAGTGATCAACTTTCCTAACCTTTCAGGACACTGCCCAAAGGACTCATTCCAGTTTCACGCCACCTAGATTGCTGGGGACACTGACATAGATGAAACATTTAGAGATGGCTAGGAACAAAATAGAAGGATGAGAGTGATCAGTATCAGCCATGTGATGAGATCCACCATGATCCCCCATGGCCTGTCTCCAAAGGACCCGAGCAACCTTCACCACTGAGGATCTCAACAACCACTGAAACTGCTTCAATACCCTTGGAGAAGGAGCTGGTGCTATAACACTGATGGCCAAAGCCACCCTGATACACACACATACAACCCATCTGCACACAATTGTGAAGCACCAGAGTCCAGCTCCATGGCTGCCCGGAAACCAGTTCCACTGCCTTACTCTGCATCCCCTCATCCCAAACCCTGGAGCCATGGTCACTCCATGTATTGGTGCATTCTGGTCCCAGGTTTCATGGTTACTCCACAATCACTCACACATCTGACACTGCCACCCTGCCACTGCATGGTAGACCTAGAACAAAGAGAAATATCTTCTAAGATGATTTCCCTATGAGGGTCAAAGACAGAATAGTATGATCCCAGCAGCCCTAGCTGCCAAAAACTGTACTGTCTTTATTGATGCTAACCTCAACTGACAGAACCATACAGAGACTACACTGCAGTACTCTCTCTGGAGCCAGAATTGTATCACACATCCAGTGCTTCTGTACTGACCTATAAGTGAATGTTCTTCCTCACTGAAACTAATTTGTAAACTCTAGAAGAGGTGACTGTTCTATCAAATGTAGACGTCGACGCAAAACTACATGAAACCCCTAAATTTAAGGAAACATAATACCACCAAAGGAACGCAATAATGTTCCAGTAACTGACTCCAAAGAAATTGAGATCTAGGAATTGCCAGACAAACAATTCAAAATAATTGCCTTAAAGAATATCAGTGAGCTACCAGAGAATGCAGATAAACAACTAAAAAAAAAAAAAATCAGGAAAACAGTACATTTACAAAATATAAAGTTCAACAAAGAGATTGAAATTACAAAAAAGAAACAAACAAATTCTGGAGATGATAAATACAGTGACTGAACTGAAGAAAAATTAATAGAGACTTTAACAGCACACTTGATCAAGCAAAGAAAGAATCAGTGTGAATTCATAGACAGATCACTTAAAACTACCCAGTCAGAGGAAAATAATGAGAAAGAAAGAAAACAAAGGGTCATCTCTTCAACAAATGCTGGGAAAACTGGATATCTATGTGTAGAAAAGTGAAATTGAACCTTTATCTCTAGCATATAGAAAAATTAACTAAAAAAGGAATTAAAGACTTAAATGTAAGACCTAGTATCATAAAACTACTAGAAGAACAGATAGAGAAAAAGCTTTTTGATATTGGTCTGGGTCATTATTTTTCTTTTTTTTTTTTTTTTTTATTGATCATTCTTGGGTGTTTCTCGCAGAGGGGGATTTGGCAGGGTCATAGGACAATAGTGGAGGGAAGGTCAGCAGATAAACAAGTGAACAAAGGTCTCTGGTTTTCCTAGGCAGAGGACCCTGCGGCCTTCCGCAGTGTTTGTGTCCCTGGGTACTTAAGATTAGGGAGTGGTGATGACTCTTAACGAGCATGCTGCCTTCAAGCATCTGTTTAACAAAGCACATCTTGCACTGCCCTTAATCCATTTAACCCTGAGTGGACACAGCACATGTTTCAGAGAGCACAGGGTTGGGGATAAGGTCACAGATCAACAGGATCCCAAGGCAGAAGAATTTTTCTTAGTACAGAACAAAATGAAAAGTCTCCCATGTCTACTTCTATCCACACAGACCCGGCAACCATCCGATTTCTCAATTTTTTCCCCACCCTTCCCGCCTTTCTATTCCACAAAACCGCCATTGTCATCATGGCCCATCCCCAATGAGCCGCTGGGCACACCTCCCAGACGGGGTCGTGGCCGGGCAGAGGGGCTCCTCACATCCCAGACGATGGGTGGCCAGGCAGAGACGCTCCTCACTTCCCAGACGGGGCGGCGGCCGGGCAGAGGCTGCAATCTCGGCACTTTGGGAGGCCAAGGCAGGCGGCTGGGAGGTGGAGGTTGTAGCGAGCTGAGATCACGCCACTGCACTCCAGCCTGGGCACCATTGAGCACTGAGTGAACGAGACTCCGTCTGCAATCCCGGCACCTCGGGAGGCCGAGGCTGGCGGATCACTCGCGTTTAGGAGCTGGAGACCAGCCCGGCCAACACAGCAAAACCCCGTCTCCACCAAAAAAAAACGAAAACCAGTCAGGCGTGGCGGCGCGTGCCTGCAATCGCAGGCACTCGGCAGGCTGAGGCAGGAGAATCAGGCAGGGAGGTTGCAGTGAGCCGAGATGGCAGCAGTACAGTCCAGCTTCGGCTCGGCATCAGAGGGAGACCGTGGAAGGAGACCGTGGAGGGAGAGGGAGGGGGAGGGGGAGGGGGAGGGGGAGGGGGAGAGGGAGAGGGAGAGGGAGAGGGAGAGGTGGGTCATTATTTTTCTGCATATGACACCAAGAAAAAGCAAAAATAAACAAATGGGATTGCGTCAAAATAAAAAGCTTTTGCACATCAGAGAGAACAGTCAATAGACTGAGTCAAAAGACAAACTACAGAGTGGAAAAAATATTTGCAAACCATTTATCTGGTAAGGAATTTTAATATCCAATATATAAATAAGAAACACATGCAACCCAATAGAGAGATAACAATAATAACAAAATTTTAAAATGGGCAAAGGATCTGAACAGAGATTTTCAAAAGAAGACATACAAATAGCCATGATGTGTATGAAAAGTTTCTGAAACTCATTCTCATCAGGAAAATGCAAATCAAAACCAAAATGAAATATTGCCTCCCACCTGTTAGAATGGCGGTAATTAGAAAGATGAAAGATAGTATGTGTTGGAGAGGATGTGGAAAATTAAAACCCTGTACATTGCTGGATTGAATGTAAGTTGGTACAGCCATTATGGAAAACATTATGGAGATTCCTCAACAAGTTAAAAATAAAGTTAGCTTATATAATTAGCTATCTCTTTCCTGATATACATCCAAAGGAAATAAAATCAATATGTCAAAAAGACATCTGCACTTTTATGTTCATTTCAGCATTATTCACAATAGCTGAGATATGCAAACAATCTAAATGCTTGTCCAAAGATAAATTAATTAAAGTGTAATTATATATATATACACACACAAAAATACATATATTTAGTATATACACATATGTGTGTGTGGTTAATATATATATACAAACCACATTTTCTTTATTCATTATACACACATATATATTTATTTATATTAAAGAAATGTATGTCACCTTTAAAAAAGAAATACATTCTGCTATTTGAGATAACATGAATGTACCAGGACATGCTAAGTGAGAAAAGCCAGGCACAGAAACTCAAATAGTGCATGATATCACTTCTATGTGAAATCTAAAATAGTCAAATTTAATGAACCAGTGATTAGAATGGCAGTTACCAGGGCCTAGGTGGAGGGTTGCAAAGTCTCAGTATGCAAGAATAATAATTTTGGAGCTCTAAAAGACAAATAAGCCAGTTAAACAATGGACAAAATATTCACTGGCTATTTCCCCAAAGAAGGTACATAAATGACCACTACACAGGGAAAGAATCTTAACATCATTGGTCATGAAGAGGATGCAAATGAAAATCTTGAGATACCAACTCATACCCATAAGGATGGCTGTAATGAAGAGAGACAATAACAAGTGTTTACAAAGATGTGGAGAAACTGGAGCCCTCATACATTGTTGGTGGAAATATAAAATAGAGTAGCCATTCTGAAAAAGAGCTTGGCAGTTCTCAAAGAGTTAAATATAGAGTAAGTATCTTACCCAGCAATTCCACTCCCAGTTATGTACTGAAAATAATTAGAAGTTATACCCACACAAAAACTTGTGATTATTTGTATTATTGACAGTATTATTGACAATAACAAAAAACTGGAAAAAACCCAAATAGTCATAAATTGATGAATACATGAACAAAATGTGGTAAGTCTATACCATGGAATATTATTTAGTCAGAAAAAAAGAATAAAGTTACAGCATAGATACACCTTGAAAAATTATGCTAAGTGAAAGAAATGAAACACAAAAACCATACGTTTTATAATTCTATGTATATGAAACCTCCAGAATAGGCATGATGTGGTGTAGATTTGTTTCCCCACCCAAATCTTATGTCGAATTGGAAGAGGGCCCTGCTGGGAGGTGATTGGATGATGGGGGTGGTGTGTCCCCATGCTGTTCTAATCACAGTGAGTGAGTTCTCATGAGATCTAATGGTTTAAAAGGGTGTGGCACTGGCTGGGCACAGTGGCTCATGCCTGTAATCCCAGCAATTTTGGAGGTCGAGGCCATTGGATCACCTGAGGTCAGGAGTTTGAGACCAACCTGGCCAACATGGTGAAACCCCGTCACTACTAAAAATACAAAAATTAGCGGGACGTGGTGGCAGGTTCCTATAATCCCAGTTACTCGGGAGGCTGAGGCAGGAGAATCGCTTGAACCTGGGAAGCAGAGGTTTCTGTGAGCCGAGATTACACCACTGCTCTCCAGCCTGAGTGACAGAGTGAGACTCCATCTCAAAAAAAAAAAAAAAAAAAAAAAGCCGGGGGGGAGGGGTGTGGCACCTCTCCACTCGCTCTCTCTCCCTCTCTCTCTCTCTCTCTGTCTCTCTTGCTCTCACTCTGCCATGGTAAGACGTGAATGCTTCCCCTTTGCCTTCCACCATGATTGCATGATTATAAGTTTCCTGAGGTCTCCCAGCCATGCCTCCTGTTAAGCCTGCAGAACTGTCAGTGAATTAAACCTCTTTTCTTCATAAATTACCCTGTCTCAGGTAGCTCTTTATGGCAGTGTAAGAACAGACTAATACGAGGCAAATCAGTGATTACAAGACACTGAAGTGGGGAGGGAATGGGTAATGACTGCTAATTTGTCCAGGGTTTCTTTTTCTCCTAAGTATGCCGATAACTACCAAATTGTATATTTTTAGAAGGTGAGTTTCATGGTCTGTATATTATAGTGCAATACACATACCGATATAAAAATAGCAAATATTTAAAAAGTGATGACAAAATGTGTCATCCCTCACTCTCTAGTGTTGCTAAGAAAGTTTGTGGTGAGTCGTTCACATCATTTGCCACTCAAACCAACTTTATTCAGACAGTGCTCAAAACCAAAGATTGCTTCAATTAATCTCCCTGCGTTACTGGGATCCATCTGTCATATGTGAAGATTTGGGACTACTTCCTATTCATTTCTTCTGCTTGAATCCCTGTCGGAAGCTCATGTTGCTTCCTTTTATTTGGTCCTTTCTCTAGTCTTCCCCCCACCTCTTTTTCCTGTTGTAAAGCATTAACTATAACATAAGTAATTGCTTATACTTTTTTAAAAGGTGAATTTCGTGGTACGTGTATTTCAGTCTTTTTCAAGAGTCAGTCTTCTTCCTTCAGAAGACAGCATTAAAAAGTAAATTGGCAACTTACAGATGAGGAGAAAATATTTCCAACACCTACATAGCATAAAAGACTTGGGTCCAGAATATATAATAAACTCTTAAATGTCAAAGAAAGTAGATCATCCAAGTTTTTGATGAGCAAAAGACTTCAGCAGATAGATACTTCACAAAAGATGATACAGATGATATTTCATTGGTAAATAAGCATAAGCACAGATGTTTGACATTACTAATCATTAGGAAAATGCAAATTAAAACTACAGTGAGATAACAAAAACGCAGCCCTGGAATGGCTAAAATTAAAAAGTTAAAAACTTCAAACTCGGCAAGGAACTGAAGCAACTAGAAGTGTCATATCCTGCTGGTGGTAGTGTAAAATGATGCTCGGAAAAACAGTTTGGCAGTTTGTTAAGTAGTTAAATGTACATGTACCAAATTAATCAGAAGTTCCACCGTAAGGTGTTTACCCAAGAAAAGCTAAAACATGTGTCCACAAAAGACTTAGAGAAGAAGGTTCATAACAGCCTTATTCCTAGTAAGAGAAAACTGGAAACAAATACACATCGAGAAAAGATTAAATTGTTTCATATATATATATATATATATGTATATATATGTATAGAGAGAGAGAGAGAGAGAGAGATTGAGAGAGAGAGAGAGAGAGAGAGCAAGTTGTTTTGTTTTGTTTTTTGAGACAGATTCTTACTCTGTTGCCCGGGCTGGAGTGCTGTGGAGCCATCTCGGCTCACTGCAACCTCCACCTCCTGGGTTCAAGTGCTTCTTCCGCCTCAGCCTCCCAAGTAGCTGGGAGTACAGGCACAGGCCACCACACCTGGCTAACTTTTGTATTTTTAGTAGAGACGGGGTTTCACCATGTTGGCTAGGCTGGACTCGAACTCCTGACCTCACATGATCCACCCACCTCAGCCTCCCAAAGTGCTGGGATTACAGGTGTGAGCCACCGTGGCTGGACTAATTTTCAATTCTCCAACAACTTAACCACTGATAGCCTACTGTTGACCAAAAACCTTACCAATAATATAATGAATTAACACATAATTTCTATGTTAAATTTTATATATGGTATTTTTACAATGAAGAAAGCTAGACATAAGAAATGGTATTGAAATCATAAGGAAGAGAAAGTATATTTACTATTCATTAAGTAGAAGTGGATCATCATAAAGGTCTTCATCCTCCTTGTTTTCATATTGAATGAGCTGAAGTGGAGGAGGAAGAGGAGAGGTTGGTCTTGCTGTCTCAGGGGTAGGAGAGGTGGAATAGAATCTGCCTGGAAGGGGCCCCTTGAAGTTCAAACTCATGTTGTTCAAGGGTTAACTGCACTTCTCTAACTAAATGCCTAAAAACAAACCAAAACAATTCATAAACTTAAAACTCATAAAAATATTTTATTACTCAAAGAAGAAATCATAAAATAAATGGGAAATACTTTGGAATAAGTTGCAATGAAAAACATTCAAAATTGTGATATGCTGCTGAAACCCTACTTAGGAAAAAAATAGCCTCAAAAAAGTAAGAAAGGCAGAAATTGATGAGTTAAACATTCAACTTCAGAATGTACCCAAAAAACAAGAAGATAGACCCAAAGAAAATAGGTAATAGAAAATAATCAAAAAAGCGCAGAAATCAATAAAATAGTAATACAAAGATACAATAGAGACTTACAAATGGATAGAAAATTGTCTGAAAGTGTGTATTTCACACTGTTAACAGCAGTTACCTTTCTGAGGAGAGAAGAGTGAAATTGATGTCAGGGTGTGGTGATGAGCTATAAGAAGAATTTTTTCCCCTTCTTTATTTTGAGACAGAGAGATGTATAAATGCAAATATCAAATTGCCATTTACATAATAAAATTATATTTATTTTAATGTAAAAATAAGCATAAAAATACTGTTTTCATGTTCTGAAAAAAATTGTCAAGAAGATGGAATGAGAGGAGAGAGAAGGAATAATATGGGGCACCTTGTTGTGCCTCAGCAGAGTGTTGAGGAGGCACTGCTAGCCTCTGGCATCTCTGTCTTCGTTTCTGTTCTCACTCTGGCCCTGAGCTCTCTGATGATCTCAAGCTGCCTTACTTTTGTGTTCCATTCAAGTCTTTATAGGAAGTGCCCAATTCTACTCTTCTTCCCTGCATGGCTTCATTTCATTTTCGCATCCTAATACACGTTTAGAAGAAAACAAATGTGACTGGACCAAATCATAATAAAGAACTAACAGCATTTGGCAGTCCTCATGGGATGTAGCATTTAAAATCATGTTTCTGCAGCCAGTCAAATCTCTAAATGGTATAATATCATGCAAGAAAAATAAAGTGAAAATAACAGTTTCAGTCATTCAGCAGATATTTACTGTATGGCTACTATGTTTCAGGCACTGTATTCAGTCTTAGTTTTATAGGGATGAAAACAAAATTTAAAAAGATGGTTCTTCAGTAACATTACATTGTAGCTAGAAACAAAAAGCAGATAAAGGGAATACAATAATTACAGACTGTGATACATTCTCTGGCAGGTAAAGAGGATTAAAATAATGATAGGTAAACAGTGGTGTTCTCTGGATGACATGAGACTTATACGCTAGTGGAGGACAGGGGATACCTTCCCTGGGAGACAATATTAATATGATGTTTCTAAGACAAGTGGAAGTAAGCCCTCAAAAAAAAATGGAAGCAAAAAAAAAAAAAGCTGCAGGCACATGAATGAAAGCATGTGCAAATGTCCTGGGGTAGAAAATGTCTCAGCCCCTCTGAGCAACACAGAGAAAACTGACGTGACAGCAGCATGATGAGTGTGTGGCACAGGCTGGTGAGATGGTGTGCGAGAAACATGGCAAGGCCCACATCACATCAGTCCTCCTGGGCCATAAGGCACTCTGTACATTTTATTCTTATTTAGCACAGAGAATATATAGAAAATAGATTGGAGGAGCACAGGACTTCCTCTGGGCTTCTTAACTCTCCTGTGTGACAAATCCTACCCACTTCATATGCTGTTATTTTTCTAGATCTGTGGTCATCAGATAGCTGTAAATCTTGACTCCCTTCTAAATTATTAATTATTATTAATTTTATTATTATTTTGAGACAGAGTTTCACGCTGTCACTCAGGCTGGACTGCAGTGGCACAATCTTAGCTCATTGCAGCCTCTGCCTCCCAGGTTCAAGCAATTCTCCTGCCTCAGTCTCCCGAGAACCTGGGATTACAGGTGTGCGCCACCAAACCCAGCTAAAAATTTTTTGTATTTTTAGTAGAGACAGGGTTTCACTATGTTGGCCAACCTGGTCTCAAACTCCTGACCTCAGGTGATTCACCTGCCTCAGCCCCGCAGAGTGTTAGGATTACAGGCATGAGCCACCACACCCAGCCCTTCTAAATTATTAACTCGCTCTCTCCTAAGCATGGGGTGTGTCTCATTCTTCTTTGATATCCATTCCACGATGCAGAAAGCATAGCTGGTATTGACTTTGTTGGATCCAGTGAGCAGGCTGCCAGCCCTTCTCCCAGGTGTCAGTGCTTGCATGGCTGTGAGACAAAACTCTCAACGTGTGCATAAAAGCCCAGCTCAGGGCCCACGCATCCGACTGCTTTATGGCTCTTGACGTTGCTTGCCCATTACATTTAACAGCCCCTTACTTGCTGCCACATTTTTTCCTTGTTGGGCCACATAAAGGAGCCCACAATCTATGCAAGATTACTCCCAATTTAGAGAGCTCTGCAACCATCAGGAAAAAAGGGCAAGAAAGTTCCAGGAGTTCTACATTCTTAAACGTCAGGGTGGACCCTTCCGGTTAAACTAACCATGTGCCTTAAATTGAATATGTAAAACATGGCTCCGGTTGGTCGGCCCTGTAAGAGCAATCAGTTCAGACAGAGGGAGTTAATCCAGAGTGTTCCATCGTTCACCCACAATGGCTCTCGAAATCAATGCCTTCTCTCAGAGATAGGGGAAACCTATGTCCATCGACAAGCTGAATGCAAGCATCCCTTGCTTTTCTATCATAAATAACATATCTAGGTAAGAAAATTATATGTGATTGCATCTCTCTTTTGTTCAGCTCTCTTTTTCTCTCTCTAGCCTGCCATACAGCCCATGAGCTTACCACCGAGAAGGCAATTATTTTTGAGTAAGAAAAGCTGACTCCATAGTGACCTAATCCAGACAAGCCAAATTAACTCAGGTCAGAAAAATTGCTCAAAGCCTATCTTTCTAAGATTTTAAAACCCAGATCACCTTGTTTACCTCTCCTTGCAGATCAGCTACAGCCGCGTAGCACCAAGCCAATCTGAAAATCAGACTCTCAGCAGCACCAGTCATCTTGAACGTGGCCATCAGCTTGACTGTAAATAAAGAGACACTCCGAGAATGAAAAACCTGCCCCCAAAATGGCAGGTTCGGCCTCTGGAGGAGAAGCTGACATTTCTACTTTTGTCCTATTCAATTAGAATTACCCACTAAGTAAGGCAGAAAATCAACTATAGAGGATGTCAACAGCACCAAGAGGAATGGCTGAGATAGGTCACACGAAGGAGCCACACCAACTGGAGAAGAGAACTGGAGAAACCAAGAGTGTTGTAGCTTTGGGGTGAAACGTCTCAGTTTCACAGGGGAAAGGTTTCAGAGTGACCCCTGAGCAGTGACTTCTTTGTACCAGTCCCCTCTGATCACGGAAAAGCTAAACTACCCTGACTCTGTCATTCTAGGGAGGGAAGAGTTCGCACCTTTAGATGTGGCAGTCTGACTTAAAAAGGTAACGTCTGCAAAAATGCAAAAGCTGGTTAAAATAACAAAAAGCTGAGCCTGTGCTGGTGCTCAACACTCTAAGCAAGGCGTGTGTGATGGAGAGTGTTATATTACTAGGGCAAAAAACTGTCCCAGTTTGCCAGGACAGGGGAGGTTCCTGGGAGGCAAAGGCTTCCCGCTTTAACACCAGGGTCATCCTAGTTACTGTGATGAAACAAGCTGTGGAAGCGGGTGCTTCATTAGGGCTGGAAAAGATCTGAGGCACACAGGCTGGGCTTCACAGGTCATTTCTGGTGAGAAAGTGGAGCTCCGATTTGATCTCTAATCCAAGCAGGTGAGCGGGGTCCATGAGGAAATACATCTCTTAGTTACCTGGTGAGCAGTGGAGCTCCAATTTGATCTTTAATCCAAGTTCTAATTGTGAACGGGGGCCACGAGGAAAATCATCTTTTTTTTTTTTTTTTTTTTTTTTGAGACAGAGTCTTGCTCTGTTGCCCAGGCTGTAGTGCAGTGGCGCAATCTCAGCTCACTGCAAGCTCCGCCTCCCGGGTTCATGCCATTCTCCTGCCTCAGCCTCCTGAGTACCTGGGACTACAGGCGCCTGCCACCATGCCCGGCTAATTTTTTGTATTTTTAGTAGAGACGGGATTTTACCATGTTAGCCAGGATGGTCTCGATCTCCTGACCTTGTGATCCGCCTGCCTCGGCCTCCCAAAGTGCTGGGATTACAGGTGTGAGCCATCGCACCCGGCTGGAAAACCATCTTTTAGTTTTCAGAAAGCGGTCATCCTGTAAGAAGATAGCGTAGGGAAGAGTGAGTCCTAAAGAGAACTTTGGCTCAAGTGTGAAGGAACGTGTCTTGGTCCTGACAGGCTGGTCCCTCCTGTGAAAGCTGGGGAGGTGGGAAGGAGGGCACAGTGCTGAAGTCATGAGTTTAATGTGGGGAAGTGAGATGGGAATCCTGCCTTGCCGTTGCAGAACCTTGACAGAGCCAAGTTCCTGTTAGTTTTACCCTTGCTTTCTTCCCTGGAGTATCTTGAAATCCTTCCTCACCCCCCTATTTCAATCACTGGTCAGTCATGGTTTCAATCACTGGTCAGTCATGGTGGCTCTGTGGGGACCCTTTATCAGACATAATGAAATTCATGTAAATGAAGAATCTGACCCACAATCCTACAAGTTGATGCATCCAATGGGAACTTTTTGCCTCGTGGCATCTTGGTCTTCTGGTTCCTTAGCTCTGAATAGAAGTTTAATTGTCACTGTTGAGGTTAGACACAGCTGCATGTGCAGAGACTTCCCTGGGCATCTACTGAATGCCTCCCTGTTGTGTTCTGTGTAATCCTAAGAGTATTGAGGCACCAGGGAACAGCCACGTCAGATCCTTTCTTCCCTAAAAACACTCTCAATTGCTCCACTAAAAAAATTTTTTAAAAAGCAAATCTTGCATGAAACCCTAAGTCCCACCTTGTCACGGTGCCAAATCATGTACACATCAGACTGAATGTTATGCTGCTTATGTTTTCTAGCCATTTTGTGTTTTGTTTGTTTGGTAGCTTTGTTTATTTGTTTTGTTTTGTTTTGTTTACAGACAGAGTCTCGCTCTGTTGCCCAGGCTGGAGTGCAGTGACATGATCTCAGCTCATTGCAACCTCTGCCTCCTGGGTTCAAGTGATTCTCCTGCCTCAGCCTCCCGAGTAGCTGGGATTATAGGCACCTGTCACCACGCCCAGCTAATTTTTGTTTTTTTAGTAAAGATGGTAATTCAGCATGTTGGGCTGGCTGGTCTTGAACTCCTGACCTCAGGTGATCTGCCCTCCTCAGCTTCCCAAAGTGCTGGGATTACAGGTGTGAGCCGCCACGCCCAGCCCTTTTTCTAGCCATTTTGTGTATGGACATTTCTAGCTCACATTTTCAGAAGTCACAATCAGTGGCAGGCCTGTCTTCTGTTTTCCACCGGCGTTCATAAAAGCGCTAATGAAGGAGAAATGCGACAAATGAGGTGTCATTTTGGGGCTGGACTTCCAGGTGCTGCTGCCTTTGGGTTAACCCATTTTGATAAAAGTGTAACATTGTTCACTTTTAAAAAATATTGGCCGAGCGCGGTGGCTCACGCCTGCAATCCCAGCACTTTGGGAGGCCGAGGCAAATGGATCACCAGGTCAGGAGTTCAAGACCAGCCTGGCCAAGATGGTGAAACCCCATCTCTACTAAAAATACAACAATTAGCCAGGCATGGTGGTGCGTGCCTATAACCCCAGCTACTCTGGGAGGCTGAGGCAGAGAATTGCTTAAACCCAGGAGGTGGAGGTTGTGGTGAGCCGAGCTGGTGCCACTGCACTCCAGCCTAAGCAACAGAGCAAGACTCCGTCTCAAAAATAATGATAATAATTATTATATATATATATGCAAAATGAGAAGTTATTAAAACATGAGGGATTTGGGGGGGTTGTTGATCTGCTTTACTCTTCCCTAGAGGCAACATTAATACACGTATCTTAAATGAATAAGGACATGGAGGACGATCTCCGAAAGCCCTTTATTGCCATCTTCAGATGATTCTCGGAGGCCGAGTGAGTCACTAAGTCCGAGGTGCACTCCTCAGAGACACATTGAAAAATTCACCCTTTCCATCATCAAACAAATTGGAATCCAAGCTTCAATTTTAGGAAAATGCCACTAATGATGGATGAATATTTTCATAGTATTTATAAATTACCACATTCCCAATGCCTTCTGTTCCCTCATGTGGCCTAAGCATTTCCAAAAAATGTTATTGGTTACAGAAATGTTAAAAATAAAATCAGCCTTATTTTCTCTGTAAAGACCTAATGAGATAATTACTATGGGTAGCCTCAATCTCAGGACGACAGGATTTTAAGACACCTGCTGGTATGGGCTGGTTGTGCTGAGTCTGGCCTGGAACAGGGAGGTGAGAAGGGGCTCTCAGTGTTGATGGACGCTGGGTCACCTTTCTTTGACATGAAGCTTGTAAATATGGCCATGCAGAGCCAAAGCCTCCACTTCCTCTTTAAACAGCCTTTCATTTCTCTCCTGCATCCTTCATCCTTCCTGCTCGGCACTATAAAAGAACAGCCTGCAACCCCCCTTCGCGCTGCCAGCCCTGGGTCCTCCTGGCCCCCCAGCTCCCCTTCCCTGACCTGCTGCCCCGGAGATCACAGAAGCTCATTATTCCCCTGGGAGCTCACTCACCTCTGGTGGCAACCATTGCCTCCGCAGACACAGCATTTATATAAAAGGCTTTCCTCCGCTTTCATCCAATCTAGGTTGCAGGCCTATTTCGTAACATTAATTCTCTCCCTCTCCAACGGCCACATCAATTCAATACTTTATAAACTATTTCAGGGAGCCGATTTATCAGGCCTGACAGTGCTGCACGCTGAAATAAACAGCACGGCCTCGCCTGGCGCACTCCATGGTTCCTATTTATCATTATTTAATTCAAGGGCCTAAAATTCTCTGACATTATTAATAGTAAGATGAATCACTGGAAAACCACAGAATCTGTGACCACCGAGGCTGAAATAACCCATTTCGGTGGAAACGTCTATGCGGAATGGCCTCCTCCCACGGCTGGCCTCTGTCATCAGCAGCACCCTGTGCATGGGAGGTGGGGCAGGGGAGCATGAAGCTCCCCAGGAGTCAGGTTCTTCGGGGGCAATTCTCGCCCAAGCAGCTCTCACCAAGACTGAGAGGGAGGGAGGGGATGGGGTGTGGGGACGGTCCGAGTGCTCCACCACAGGACTCTTTCCTGTGTCTGTCACTCAACTTTAAAAGCACTAACGTAAGCTGGTTTGCACTTGATTAACCACTTGTCTGGACTTGAACTTGGGTGGGAGCTGGACCTGGAAGTCTACTGGTTAATTACAAGAACTCTATCCCTTGGCAATTTGGGGCCACCTCATCAGATATTCAGGGTGTGTTCCAATGCCCAGCTTTGGTTTTTCAGCTTTCATTTTTTGCACATTATTACAATTTTTGAATTTAAATAAAAAGACATATCCACTTCTAAATAGGTTTTCGTTTTTAAAAGAAACCACTAACGGGGAAAAAGAAACCTAAGAAGGAATTTGCTCCTTTTTTACTCTGAGATCCAGAGGAAACAGTGAATATTACAAGTGGATTATCTCTGGGACAAGGTTAATGTTTTCAGCAAAGCTATGGAGAGAATATAACAATAGAATGATTCCTCAAATAATGATCTGTTTCTTTTCTAAGCCAAGTAGGATAATCTTTATAAAAGAAAAACCCTTTGAAGTGATTTTTTAAATGTTATAATTTTATAGTTGACCCAAGAACTATTAAGTAGGATTAAAATTAAATCTTCCCAATCTTAAATATTTGATGAGAAATAAAGTGCTTGACTTTTCCAAGCAAATTCTCCCAGAAATACCAGAAGGGTTAGTTCTTATAATTAACTTCAACTAACTGTACAAATGTAAGCCCGTGTTCTCAAGTTCTATTTTCTGGAGAGAAGAAAGAATATTAGGTCAGTCCACTTTACATAATGAAGTTCACTGGGTTTTTTTTACTTCAGCAAACCCACCATATACCAGGCACTGCGCCATAAGCATAGAGAACAGGATAAAACTCTCACCATCATTGCTAATATTTATTGGTAACAGCAAACACCAGACAAAGCACTATGTTGTTTACTCTTCCCTGGAGGAGCACATAATTTGATAATGTAGTCACAGAGAGTAAGTCTTATCTCTTCTAGACTGAACAACACTTTGTTGCCTCCAAGACTTTATTTCTTCAAGGTTTTTAATTTATTCTTTTAATTGACAACCAATAATTGTATATACCAGTAGGGTACAATGCGATATTTTGATGTGTATATATGTATAAACCGTAGAAAGATTAAACTGAGATAATTAACATACCTGTGGCTTCACCAGCTTATCATTATGTGTGTGTGTGTGTGTGTGTGTGTGTGCGTGGCAAAAACGTCAAAAATCTGTTCTTTTAGCAATTTTGAAATACACAATACATTATTATAAATTGTGGTCACCATGCAGTGAAATTGATCACCAAAACTTATTCCTCTGGTCTTACTTTGTACTCTTTAATCAGTGTCTGCCCTTTCACTGCCCCTCCTGCTCCCTAGCCTCTGATAAGGCCTTTCTACTTCTTGTTTGTGTGGGACTGGATTTTTCGATTCCGCATGTGACTGAGGTCATGCAGTACCTGTTTTTCTGCGCTGGGCTTATTCCACTTAGCACAAAAGTCTCAGGTACTTGTCTCTGTTTCCTCAGTGCTCCTCTAAATGTCTACAGGGCCAAATAAAATAAAGTCCCACTTAGCTATGATCACACACTTTTTTCTTCCTCTAACATTAAGCAAATTCCACACTGCCAACAGAAGCTTTATTTGGGAAGTGTACACGGCACTGTTGGGGAGAGGGACTAACATGAATGAGTTCACACGTTTATGTGGGTACTCTCTGTTCAACCTATCTCCCAAAATGTGTCTTTGTCAGCTGCTGCTTCATTTAATGGCAGGTGCCATTTATACCTCATTTAAGGAGTAACCAAGACTTGCTGGATAAAGGATGGCCATGCACACTTCAGTTTCTGGCATGATGTATTAGAAGCTTGGAAGTTGTCACTCAATTCTAAAACAACGAACAACAAAAAGCTCAACAAACTGAAAATCAACAACTTCTTGGAGTCAGAGAGAACAGAGGCCACAGTGCAAATCCCTGTCCCCCAGATTGGAGAGCTAGGTGGATACAGAGAATCACAACTTTCCAGAGTAGTAATTCACTTAAGAGCAGAAACTTCCACAAGAAGCAGTATCTCAGGACATCATGTCCTGCTTTCAACAAACAACTACAAGATGTACTAAGAGACAAAACACACGGGTGAGCATCAGAACCAGAATCACACATGGCAGAGGGGTTGGAGTTCTCAGACAAGGAAATTTAAAAGAACTCGGATTGGTATGCTAAGGGCTAGAATGGAAAAGGCGGGTGCTGTGCAAGAAAGGTAAGGTAAGCAGAAAGACGGAAACAATAAGTAAGAGTCAAAAGGAGATATTAGAAACCAAAACATTTTAACAGAAATGCACGTTTTTGATGGGCTCATCTGTAAGCGGCCACAGCTGAGAAAAGGATGGGCCATGCTGAAAACCCACAGAGACCCCTTCCCTGAGATTGCTCAGTGGTCCTGGGTTTTCCTAGCATCTTCCCTCTGGCCTCAGCTACATGTACTGAAGGCAGAGTGGCTCGTGAACACTCTGCATCGTACCACACAGACTAGGACATCCTGCTGAGGTAAGAAAGCCCTGGGAATGGGACTATTTCCAAGCCCTTAACAATTTTTGAAAATCCAAAAGTATTCTGCAGCCAGGCGAGGTGGCTCACACCTGTAATCCCAGCACTTTAGGAGGCCAAGACAAGAATCACTTGAGCCCAGGAGTTTGAGACCAGCCTGGGCAACAAAGCAAGACCCCATCTCTACAAAAATTTTAAAGAAATTAGCTGGGCCTGGTGGCACATGCCTGTAGCCCCAGCTACTCAGGTGACCAGGGTGGTAGGATCGTTTGCACCCAGGAGCTCGAGGCTGCAGTGAGCTAGGATCACGGCACTGTACTCCAGTCTGGGCGACAGAACAAGACCGTTTGAAACTACAGCAATAACAAGGAACCAACCAAGGAAAAGTATTTTGCTATTGTTTATTTCTTTCTAATGATCTTGTCACTCAATTCAATGAACATGACAGTATTAGGAATAAAGCAATCAGTCTAGTAAAATAAAAATAACTCATTCAATTATAAGCAAATTCAAAGAAATACTTTCATAGGTAGCAAGGATGAATCAATTAAGAATTAAGGACCTTCCCCTAAACGAATATTCATGGTTTGTCTAATAAAACAAAATTATCAATTTATTGGGGGAAATATGCTTTGCAGAATTTGGATACCAAATTATACAGAATGTACCCATCAAGATTCCATTCATTTTTGGATTACTGATATGAACTATCAACTCTCATATCAAAAGCTACACAACAGCTATAATGAGAGTCCCTCGTTGTGTGAAATGTTCTTAGCTTTTGTTCATTGGCTCTCAAATACTGGGGAATCACCACCTATCACAAAATATGTTCTTGGTAGCTGTGCCTCTAGGCTCCTTATCCCATGCAAAATCATAGTTTATGAAAAAGCAAACTCAGACACCTAAGTAACAAACTTTCAAATCGTGTTCATAGACTATGCTTAGCCTTGTCTTACCTTTCCTGTAGCCTCTGAGCTTGTGTGCTTAGCTGCACAGTTGGGAAGAAGATAGGTCAGAGAATACACCAACCCTTGGTCTTACCTGAGAGTAGCCAGTATGAGTATGAACTCAAATGTGCATTTTGGTTAGATCCTTTGAAGAAGGATTGTTACTGGCATCTGCAAGAAAGCGCTAGGCAAGGTTAACAGTCTTTACAAAGCTAAATCATCAGATGAGCCCCAGAAGTTAAAGCCTCACATGTCCTCTTACGTCACACCCCATGTGTTTCCTTCCCCTCACCTGAATTTGACCTCCTCCTATGTCATGTGTCTAAACTTGACATGGCAAATTGCCAAGCATCCCCAGGACTTCACCCTTTCCAGTGTCCCCACCCTGCATCACATGGCTCTGTAGCATCCTCCCATCCAGTTGGGGCATTCCATGCATCCTTTCATGCCAGGCTCAGCCCCATGAGGGTCTTGGGTGGGAGGTCACGAGATGCGATTCAAGCAGAGCCTTGGCAAAGCCCATGTGTATGTCCCCCTTCTGCTCCTGTGCTCTGTGGCTGCCCTCAGAGCCTTCCCAGGGGAGTCTGTGAAGAATGAGACCTTACTGGTCTCCATTGTTCTATCGATATCCAACCTACTGCCAGATTAGTGGGCAAATCTAGCTGAGACCAAAAAATCACCCACTGAGAACAGCCACAGTTGCCTGGACACACAGACTCATGAGCTAACTGAGGCCTCTTGTTGTAAAACACTGAGTTTCAGCATGGTTTGCTGTCTAATGTCATTGTGGCAGTAGAGAACTAAGACACCTGGTTTGGCTGTTCGATTCTACTCTCTTCCATTTCTTGCTTAGTATGCTATTCCCTCATCTTCCCTTTAGTGTTTCAGTCATATATAACTCACCACGTAACAAACAGCCCCCCCAAATCTCAGTGGCTTACAACAACAAACATTTGTTTCTTACGTTAATTAAGGGCTGAGGGTTGACTGGGCCTCTGTTCTGGGCTGTGAAGCCACTGCATGTTGCCTGCATCATGGACCTTCTTATTCTAGGACCCACAATGAGGATGTGATGTCCTCGCGAGAGAGGGTGGGAGCACAGAAGCTGCTCCAGACTTCGAAGTTGCATTGAAGCCTCCTGCTCCTAGGGGCACATTTGCTCACATTCTAGTGTTTGAAGCAAGTCACTCAGCCAAGCCCACCATCCAGTGAGTGAGGACCCTCCTTCTGTTGAGATCTGTGGCAAGGATGGGGACAAATAATCTAGGGGAAGGAACAACAAATTATGAATAATACTCAAGTCCACCAGTGTGTGTTTTCATCGAGTCTGGCAACACAAATCTCCCAAGCAGTGAGAAAAATCTTTGAGTTTCCTCTGATAAGCTGAACGCAGTAGTATTACAGGACAATTTGAGTTGAAAGATAGCCAATAAATTATGAAGCCTTAGGGAAATAGCAGGGGAAAAGTGATCACTGTAGCATTGTCTGTTATCCAGGACACCTGGAAAGCAGGCTCCCAGGAAGCTGCACCTCCCAGAGGACCCCGGAAGTGGAAGTCCACTCTTTCTAACAGAATGTGAATACCTAGGGCCCTTGAGTGTGTGAGTTTAATGCAAACAATTCTCTTTGAAAAGGAACATGACTGAGAAATTACACTCTAAAATACAAGAAAAAAAAAGAAAAGCTGACATTGCTCAGCGGCTGTGGCCTCCAACCCCAGGTGGCTGCAGACCTTTCCTCCCCACTCCTTGTGCCTGAGCCTTCTTCTCGTCAATGAAGTTTCACAGCCCAAATTGTTCACTCTCCATGAAGAAAATGCCTCCTTTTTTTCAGCTCCCTATTTAATAATTGGGCAGTTGTTTTTTTGCTGTTCTCCTCGGCTATTCTGAATTGTTTACTACCTAAATGTTAGTGGGAATCACAGGTGTGGACTCACAGAGACGCTGCCATCTACGGCCTGGATCTTGGTCCAAGCATTTCTGCTCTACTCCAATATTGGCTACTGGCTACTCAAAAGCAGTATTGTTTTCCAAAGTCCAAGAAATATCACTCTTGTTGCCAATAAGTCAAAGAAACCAAGTAAGAGACACTGACTGTAAAGGAGCTTTTGTAAGTGGCAGGAACCCAGGCACGCAGAAGCACTGATGTTCTCTTCTTACCCTGGGTCTTGTCAGGGCTCAGACACCCTCGTAAAAGTAGGGAGAGAGCAGGTGCCTAGGAATCGTGGCAGTGTTGCCATGGAAAACCAGAGATTGACAGTGATGTCTTGCACAGAAGACCACTCTTATATTTAGAACTTTCCCTATATTGAAGAAACAGAGATGATTTGTAGGCACATAATGACAAATTTTACATTTTCCACTGTTTCTCCCAGTCTTCTCAGCCTATTTACACTATGTCTAGGACTAAATTTGGTTCTTATCCATCAATGTTTGAATAAATACTGAATTGCATTCCAAATCAAAGCAGTCATTTCATATACTATTGACAGTCATATTGATTTCTTGCAGGTTAACAGGAATAATACCTATTTTAAAATACTATATATATATATATACACACACACATACACATACACACACTATTTATATGTATGCATATATACCTACACACACACACACGTATATATAAAAGTATATGTCACAATTCTTGTATTTGTGTACTCATGCAACAAAGAAGTTGTAGCTATTACTCCTTTGCAGATTTTGGACTGAATTGTAACTGATGATATGAATTACTGAAGACTAATCAGGAAAGCAGAGATGTACTTAAATACGTACTTAAGACTTCCAAAATTTAAAGAAAAACAAATAATTTAATTCATATATGATTTTTCAAGTAATTGCCATACTAGCTATGTATTTAAAGCTAGAAATAATAAAATTCATCAAAAAAAAGAAAGCATCTTAATTCTCTCTAAATTTTTCTACGATCTCAAGTAGCCAAAGAGGTGGTCATGTCTTAAATTAATATAAGGCTGCTTATGTAATATTTTAGTTTATTTTTCTTATTACATTTTAGTTTTACTTTATCAGTAAATATGTGGATACATATGTATGTATGCCTTACATTAAATTAACATCTATATTATGCATTAATAAATATCCACATATCCTCATATTTATCAACATTATTAATAAGTATGTGAATGCGTACATATGTAATATGTAAATGTTCCTCATTAAATTAGCAGATATATTATATATATTATTTATATATATATTTATATAACGTGGACTTTTTAAATATGTGAACATTTTCAAATTAAAAATAAAATGAAGAGAAATTTCTGTAATCAATGTTTATTTGGAAATTAAGATCCAACACTTGTACATTTAAAAAGCATAAGCTCTGCCTTTGCATCTTGTTTATATGCTCTCTCTATATATAAACTTTTAAATTATTTGCTCTATATCTAATATTTCATATTTATATATAATACATTAATTTAATATATATTATTATATAATATATTTAGTCTAGCTATTTATATACATTATTTATATATCATACGTATTTTTATATATGTATGCCTCAAATTAAATTAATATGTAGATAAAATACGTATGATATAATATACATTACATTATATTACACAACTAAAGATACTTAGAGAAAACCACCGAGACACAAAAGCAGATCTTATGCCTTTTAAATTTACAGTGTTAGATCTTAATTTTCAAATAAACATGAATTACAGAAACGTCTCTTGATTTTATTTTTAATTTGAAAATGTCCAAATATTTATTGATAAAGTAAACCTAACATGGAAAAAGACAAATAAAATTTTGTCATTCATCTCTACATAATTTCCTATTTTTCCTTCTGTTTTATGGCAGCCCTTCATTGTTCAGAGCGAGGTAAGCAGGGGCCGGTCAGCTGCGGATTCTCTCCTGCTCTGCTGCCTGGTTCTGGTCATTTCACTTCTCATTAGCACTGTACCCAGGGGAGAGCCAGGAGACAGAGAGGAGGTACAGCTCAAATCAACCAATTTACTCCTCATTAGCAGCTCTGATGAAAGATCTGATGGAGTGGGAAGCTGTAACTATTAATTTAGGTGAGATCTGAATGGTGTCTGTTGATTTCATTTCTCTGTGCTTTGCCTATGCCCTGCCAACCCAGGAGAGCAACAAGTGGCTTTAGTAAATCTCCGGTAATTTGTACCTTACTATCTTGGGATCTGTGATAAGTCAACAGTGCCCAGTGGAAACTTAGTTTCTCATGACTTAGAAAAAAAAAAAAGGTTTGTTAAACCAAATAAAAATATAAACCATTGTAAGAATATGTTTTCAATAATTAAAAACTTTAAGAAACAAAGCCTCAACATACATAGATATACTGTCAACATGCTTAGCAAACTAATCACATTATTTTATTAAGTAGAGACTATGAGGGTCTTACACCAGCTACTAGAGTATCACGTCCCCTAGGTACAATTCCAAATTCCAGGAAGTTTGAAACCAATTTCTTTTTCTTAATTCATCTGGCACCTTGTTTAAACTGAAATAAATTACAGTCACGTGCTGTGTAACATTTCTGTCCACTCTGGACTACATACATGACGGTGGTCCCTTCGAATTACAGTAACATAGTTTTACTTTCTTATGTTTAAGTATGTTTAGATACACAAATACCACTGCATTACAGCTGGCTACAGTGTTCAGTCCAGCGCATCCTATATAGGTTTAGAGCCTGGGAGCAACAGGCCATATCATACAGCCTAGGTTTGTTGGGGACCGCACCATCTACATCTGTGTAAATTCACTCTGTGATGCTCACATCATGATGAAACTGCCTGGCAATGCATTTCTCAGGAGGTATCCTCCTTGCTAGTTGACTCATGACTATAATGGCAAAACCTGACCTAACCCAAGACAAGGCTCTCCTATTGTGTAAATATTCATGTTTTTCTCAGCACAGATCTCAATAGACAGTTAATTCTGTTTATTCCTGGTAATTCTGTTCAATAAAGTCTCTGTGAACACTGAATTGGTGAGCACTGAACATTTGCTCCTAGGGGAAATACAGGGTTAGGTTCCTGAAAGCCTCTGGTCTCAATATTTTCATCAAGAAATCAATGCATAGCCCCGTTTTAAGTGTGTTTCTGTTTAAAGACACCTCATTTAATACACACAGTGGATTCATGAACGATGAACTCACAGCCAGCAGTACTGGAACATGTGCCTGAGTGAAGCTTCTGGAACTCAGGTATTTTCTCCACAAGGCACATCACAGCCTCTGTGCTCAGAGACAAAAAGACAGGAGACAGCACATCTGCAGTATACTCTGGGCCATCCTGAACAGGATCATCATCAACAAAAGCATAGAAATGAAACATTTTTAAAAATGTGGCTCTTGGGGTTGGGAGTGGTGACTCACACCTGTAATCCCAGCACTTTGGGAGGCTGAGGGGGGTGCATCACTTGAGATCAGGAGTTAGAGAGCAGCCTGACCAACATGGTGAAACCCCGTCTCTACTAAAAATAAAAAAATTAGCCGGGCATGGTGGCATGTGCCTGTAATCGCACCTACTTGGGAGGCTGAGGCAGGAGAATCACTTGAATTTGGGAGGCAGAGGTTGCAGCGAGCTGAGATCACACCATTGCACTCCAGCCTGGGTGACAGAGCGAGGCTCCATCTCAAATAATAATATTAATAATAATAATAAACAAATAAAATAAATAAAAATTTAAAATGTGGCTTTAAATAGGTAGCATAATGGAAACTTGTTCACAGCACGAAACAAGAATGCAGAGGTCGCCTGGCTTAGCCTTAGCTGGGAATGTGAGCACAGCAGGTGGTGCAAATTTTATATTAGTTTTTTGATGCATGCATGTCTGTGAACAACTGTGAAAGTACTGTGAGCGTTGATTTTGTGGTTACAAATATATTTTATCAGGTAGGAAATTTAGAAATACGAAATCTGCAAATAATGAGGGCCAACTCAATTTCATTCCTGAGCACTGCCTGGACACTTTCTATACAACTGCTATAAAACACAGGCACGGCTCTGCCTTTCTGAAGTCTGAAGGTTTAGAATTCTAAAAGATCCTTGGCTCCAAGGAGTTCAGGTATGGGATTTGGCATTCTTCTTGTCTTCAGAAATACAATAAAGGCTTGAAAACTGAGTTTCTGTGAGTCAGTATTAATTAATCTACTTATTCTACAGCTGTTATTTGGTATTCCAGATAAGCTTGTGGGAGAAATGGAGGTAATGGATAATTTGTTTTCAAATTGTTTTATTTTTCCCCATCAATTTGCTTGACAGCTGTATTCTGCTATTGTCAATAGGCTACCCCCATGAGGTGCAAATACACAGCATCCCTCATGTAAGGGGATATGGGCTGCACGTTAATTGTAAAGTGATCCCATGTCCCAGTGACGTGAAGAAGGAGAATTCTGTGCTGCTCATACTGATGAGGGTGCAGTGTCCATGTGCATTACCTGGAACTCTAACTTACTCATCAAGATGCACACCTGACTTCCTCCTTGCCCCATGCATGGAACAGGTAGCACTTCAGAAGGAATTAAATGACTATGGGCATAGAGACTGTACAATCTTTTGGGAAGACTCAGCATGGCACACAAAGGCAGGCATGGGAACACTCTGCAGATATGGGCAAAAAGCAGGTGCATTGTCTTGGAGGATTTTAAAAACCAATAACAAAATTGATCAAACCTTGGTCTGTTTTGCATTATCGTCGTGTCATGCTGTCACTGCTGGTAATGAGTTACTCCTCCACGGGGGGAGATCAGATCTTTTCTTGGTTTATCTTCGAAATGGCTACTACATATCAGCTTTGGATTGGCACATTTCCATTCCTTACCCTCTGCGTAGCACTGCAGACGCCACGACCGTGAGTCCAGCCCCGGCACGTGGGCCCGCTACACATCGCAGATTCAGGACTGAGTTCCAGGTGGCCTTGAATGGTTCCAGCTCCCTTTAAGCATAGCTCCCATCTCCAGCCCTCGGGCCCTACACACTCCTGAGTTGAAAGAGTCGATTCCAAATAAACAGCAATAGCACAATGACTGCAAAGAGGAGGACAAGAAAGTGAGTGGGCTCAGATCCCTCATTCTACCAGATCACTCGCAGTATTGTGTTTTGAATTTAAAACAGCGAAACAGCGTAAGTTTTGAGGTACTATTTTGTTTGACAAATGCAAATTTTAGTTTAGATATGGAATATTATGCTAAATAAGAAACATATATCTAAAATTGAAATTAATCATTTTTAAATTATTATTTAAAACTAAAAACCAGAAATAAATAATCTTAAATCAGTGATATGATATAATTTTGTAAATTTTGTCTTTAGCAATAATTTTTTGGCTACCAATCATTTACATTTAATAGTATTACATCAGACAGTTAACAAAACATTAATGTCCACATTTTTAAAAGCTATTGTATTTTTGAAATATTTGTAGTGTAATATCTTTCATAACTTTTTGTTAGTATGATTTTATATGTAGAAATATGAAGCTGAATTTTAAAAAAATTTGCTCTCGATATTTTCTGGTCTATTAATATTGTTTTATATTTAATATGATATGTTTTTATTAATATGTTTTTATTTAATATGATAATTTTGGAAACAATTTTGTCACATAGAGGGTAAGATGCTCAAAGATGATCTGTTCCTCAGGTCTGTATGCTAGGTATTGGTCTGCTACAGAAAGTGGTAAAAAGATTCTAGAAGCACCTTTTAATTTGAGCTTACATTTTATTTTAGTTGGTCAAGATATAATTCAGAAGGCAAGGGGTACTAGAACGTACTAGCAGGGCAGGGAGAACGGGGGACAAGCTGCCTGCCTGAGATGCTCAGTCCAGCTCAAAGGGTCCTAGGACATACTCGCAGGACAGTAGGACAGTGGGCAAGCTGCCTGCCTGAGAATCCAACTCCGAGGGACCTAGGATGTACTTACAGGGTGGGAAGGACGGAGGACAAGCTGCTTGCCTGAGATGCTCAGTCCAGCTCTGAGGGTTCTAGGATGTACTTACAGGGCAGAGAGGACAGTGGGCAAGCTGCCTGTCTGGGAATCCAGCTCTGAGGGTCCTAGGATGTATTGTCAGGGCAGGAGGGACAATGGGCAAGCTTCCTGCCTGAGATACTCAGTCCAGCTCTTAGGGCCCTAGGTTGTACTGGCAGGGCAGGAAGGACGGTGGACAAGCTGCCTCCCTGAGAGTCCAACTCTGAGGGTCTTAGGATATAATCACAGGGCAGGAAGGACAGTGGGCAAGCTACTTGCCTGAGAATCAGAGTCCAGCTCCGAGGGTCCTAGGATGTACTTACAGGGCAGGAAGGATGGTGGATAAGATGCCTGTCTGGGAATCCAGCTCTGAGGGTCCCAGGATGTACTAGTAGGGCAGGAAGGATGGTGGGCAAGCTGCCTGCCTGAGATACTCAGTCCAGCTCTGAGGGCCCTGGTGGACGCCTGATGGGCAACAAACACGAGGTGCCAGTGCATCAGTTGGCCAGGAAGGGTCTGTTTCACATCATGTGTATTTACATCTGTCCCCTTTTGTCTTCCCTGTTAGAGTTCTCACAGATAACAACCTTCACGCAATTCTGAACTACAAAACGTAAAGGGAGGGCACTGCAATTGTGTTTCCTGCCTCTATCTCACTGAGATGAAATCTCATTTCTAAGTACGAGGTTGAGCCATACGCACTGCCATTTTTCTCAAAAACAGAATAGAAGCAGTTTCATGCTGTTCAACCTAATAACTGCTTTAAACTTGGAAGATGCAAAGTCTGCTTCTGAGGTGACCCAAATAGGGGTCCACCAGGGATGGGATTGAATCATTTGCTCTAAAGTGGTTGTCCCCAACCTTTTTGGTACCAAGGACCAGTTTTGTGGAAGACAATTTTTCCATGGAGTTGATTTTGGGTAGGGGGTGGTTTCAGGATGGAACTGTTCACCTCAGATCATCAGGCATTAGTTAGATTTGCATAAGGAGCCTGTGACCTCGATCCCTCATGTGCCCCATTCACAGTAGGGTTTGTGCTCCTGTGAGAATCTAATGCTGCTGCTGATCTGACAGGAGGTGGAGCTCAGGTGGTAATGCGAGTGATGGGGAGTTCCTGTAAAGGAAGATGGAGTTTCGCTCACTCGCTTGCTGCCTGCTAGTCACCTCCTGCTGTATGGCCTGGTTCCCTACAGGCTGCCGACCGGTACAGATGTGCAGCCCGGAGGTTGGGGAGCCCTGCTGTAAAGCATGGGCAGCTTCCAACACAGCCTTCTCCCAGCGTGAAACAAACAGCTGCACTAAAACAATCAAATAAAATCAAATCCCAGACCTCGTGTAGCCTGGTGTCTCCCACTCAGATGCCGCACCTGTAGAGACCCGGGAAAAGGGAGTTTCTATGAGCCTGAGAGGCTCTTCTAGTACTTTTTCTGCCTCTGCTTAGAACATTGCTAAAGAAAATCAAATCGCTTAATCTCTAGCCACCTCCAATCTTTCCATCTCCCCCATCTATTATGTCACCAAGAAAACTGAAGCAGTTGAATGTCTATATTCTGCAGTGACCCTGTATGGGCTGATCAGGGACCCTGTCGCTGCTATTCTGGCCCCTGGAGATGCTGGTGTCCCAGCAGAGTGCAAGGCCCATCCTCCTCCCACGGCCGCCACACTCCCCTGTGTGTGTAGAATCTCATCATCGCCTCTCAGCCTCCTCAGCTCTGTAGCTCTGGCTGGTCCCCGTCCACTACAGAACCCGTTCCTTCCTTTCTACTGGATTTTCCCATCACTGTGCAGACAGATTATATTACTCATCTCTAAAGAGACTTTGATCCTGCACCCCTTTCCATATGATATCTGATTTTTCTGTCCCCTTTTATGGAACGATTTCTTGAAAGAGTTGTCCACACTCACTGACTCACTTCTCTCATTCTCCTCAGAGTTCACCCCAAGTCCAGAGAAAACGCTGTTATCAGGCTTCCCATGGCAGCCATGCTGCAACTCCAGTGGGCACTTGGTGTTAGCATCTGCATTAATTCCTGTGGCTGCTGTAACAAATTAACACAGACTGGGTGGCTTGAAACTGTAGACATTTATCCTCTCGCAGTTTGGGGACTGGACTATGAAATCAAGGCATGGGCAGGGCCATGCTCCCTCTGAAGCCCCCATGGGAGAAGACTTCCTTGCCTCTTCCAGCCTCTCATAGCCCCAGGTGGTCCTTAGCTCGTGGGTGCATCTCCCCATCTCTGCCTCCATCTTCCCATGGTCTTTTCCTGTAAGTCTCCGTTTCCATATCTCCCTCTCCTATCTCTTATAAAGACATCAGTCAATAGATTTAGTACCCACATTAGTCTAACATGAGCTCATCTTAACTATGTTATACCTGCAGGCCCCTGTTTCCAAATAAGTCTTCATTTGCAGGTACTGGCAGTGAGAACTTCCACATCTATTTGGGGGGGACAAAATTCAAGCTACAGCAGCCTTGGATTTGACCCCTCAATAACATTTGCTGTTGTTATGGTTTGAATTGAACACCCCGCAAATTCCTATGTGGAAGTCTGAGCCCTGCTATGTCCAAATGGAACTGTGTTTGGAGACAGGCCCTTCACAGCGGGAATTCATGTAAAATGGAGTCATTGGTTGAGAGCTGGGGACAAATCTTACTTGACTGGTGTCTTTATAAGAAGAGAAAATGCAGACACAGAGGAGATGCCAGAGGTGTTCAGGAAAGACCCTGTAAGGACACAGGGAGAAGACTCTGTCTACCAGCCACAGGGAGAGCCCTCGGGAGAAGCTCAAGCTAACTTCACCAAAGGAGTTTCTGTCCTGCCTCCCCACACCCACTTCTCCCAACCTCTCAACTCAGTAAAACGCTAACTCTGTCTGTCCCAGTGCTCAGATCCAAACCTTGGAGTCATCATCAATTCTCTCTATGTGTAATTTTAGAGACAGGGTGCTGCTCTGTTGCCCAGGCTGGAGTGCAGTGGCACAATCACAACCCGCTGCAGCCTTGACCTCCTGGGCTCAAGCGATCCTCCTACCTCAGCCTCCCTAGTAGCTGGGACCACAGGTGCATGCTAATTTTTGTAGAGATGGGGTTTCTCCATCCTGCCCAGGCTGTATTCCCTCTCTAATTCACACACCACCCAGTGAGCCAGGGCTTCTTCCTTCCTGTGCTTAAAAACATCAGTATCTGGTGACTTCTCACCGTACCCCTAACAAGACTCCGGGTTGAACCCCCTGCTTCTCTCCTGTCCTCCTGACAATCCACGCTCCACAGGGAGGGAGGATGCTTTAAATGAAAATTACATCTGGTTACTCTCCTTCTTCCAACCTTCCCACAGCACAACACTGCACTCAGTAAAAGGCCCCACTGACTACTCTGCTCCACACAGTGCCACCTGGTTCTAACCTCAACCTCAGCACCCGTGATTCTTCTTTTTGCCTCAGGCACAGTTCTTAAACATCTCCTATTTATTCTTGCCTTGCAGCTTTTCCAGTAATGATTCCATCTGGCTGGAAAGCTCTCACCTCTGCGTAACTGACCAGTTCTCATTCATGTCTTCCCTTAAACGTCACTTTCTAGCAGAGGCCATTTCTGAACCACCCATCTACAGAGCCCACAGTCACTTTCTAGCACACAGACTTCTTCTCTCCATTGCTTGTTTGCCTGCATAATTGTTGCTTGTCTGTCCTCCACCACTGAAAATTAAATGCGTGGAAAGTAAGGATTGAGATTAGCTTGTGGGCCACTGCATGTCCTGGGCTCAGAGTGATGCTGGGAGCCTGGGAACCCCTCAATGACAGAAGTTTGTCACTTGAGGGAACAGGGCCTTCTTATGTGGGATGAGATAGAAGAACCAATGCCAACCCTACGCTTACAATCATCAGGGCACTCTCCTCTACAATCTCATTATTTTTATATTCCTTGACACTGTAGATTATTCACACACAAGGAACACTCATTTTGACGCACCTTCAATCTTCAAGGAGCCTAAACTGTCACAGGACAAGTGGCAGACCCTTCCTTTTACATACACCCTGTCCCTCACTTCCTGCTCCGCTTCAAAACATGTGCCGAATGTCCAAGTTTAACTCGGCCCAACTCAGCTCTGCACAGCCATTTGCAGGGGGTGGCATATGGGCTCAGTGGGGTTCAGAATGTGGATTGGATGCAGTAACTGTAGGAACAAGAGGCTCAGAGTGAAGCTAGGCAAAAAGTTGTTACACACTATAGAAAAATGCACTACATCCAAATGCAATCATTCTTTTTTCAGTCCTAAGCATTGGACCTGGCTCAGAGAACAATTTCAGCCTCTAAAGCCATAGCTTCAACATCATCCACAAGACAAATTTCACTTTGAACACTGAGGAGAGCTGCCAAGTACGGGACCCTGGAGCCCAGCCCGGCTGTATGAATCCAAGTGATGTTGGGTGTGACAAAGCTTGCTGAGGTCAGCCTGTGCTTAAGACAAATAAGTGGAACACACACAGCCCTTCACATCAGCAGGAATAAGAAGAAAGCAAGTGGAAAATTCACCTGAAACCCTCATCTCACTTCAATCCTTGAGTAAAAGGCCCGGGATAGACGAGTTGACTCAGAATAATTGAAAATTTTCCTGGATTGCTGGTAGCCCTACGTCCAGAGCAGAAGTGCATTTAATAGATTTTCCTCATGAAAGGAATTTGAAAAATGTAAAAACTATGGAAGAGAAGTAAATAAACATACCTTTAAAGTACTCCTTCCAAGTCTTAACCCAAAGCACACATTTTGGGGGAAATTTTTGCATAGCCACGTTTATGAGCATGCTTCGTGTATCACTTTGTCTCGTTTTTCACATAATAGAATGGCATAGGCATTTCCATGTTATTTTAACGTGGAATAACCTGGCAATAACCGGTACTTACTGTACAGTTGGGGTATAAATTAATTTAATGGCATCATTACATGTCATCAAGCTACTATGCATGGTTTATTATAAAATCACCTCATATTTTGGTTGAGTTAAAAATCTACTTTCTTTTTCTTTGATGCTTCTCTGTGTGTTAGTGTTTACTTCTCCTGAAACATATTAATATTTCATGGGTGGATCACTGAGTCACAGAGAATGACACAGATACAGATGAGTCCGTGTGGGTCCATCTGTCTCTAACTCTATACACGTGACAGCTCTCAACACAAGGCTGTAAAAAGTTTAAGAAGAAAGAGATATCAACTTCAGATGTGGAGGACACGCGAGAAAATCCCGCCCAATCCCAGCCTTCATCAGATAACTCCTGACACCGTCTAGACAGCTGGCATTTTCCAACAGTACCTCTATCCCAGCAGAATCTTATCCATTCCTTGCCAAACTACCCCCCGCTTTGTCTACCAGACTGTCCATCAGCACAATGATACTACCAGTCACCCAGACCCCAGGGCTAGCCAGCCACTCCTCACAGGAGCCAGACACAGCCCGGCTCGCTTCTTCTCTTTTCAAAACCACAAGCATCATGGCACTTTGCTGCAGTCAGGGCTGATCCTTCAGCAAGCTGTCATCAAAACCAGGAGTGCCTACTTGGCAGATGTGTAATCAAGGTTATGGGATATGCCCCAACCCAGAGGCAAAGCTACAGAAAGAAGATGGTCAGCCAGTCATCACAGTGATGTGTCTGCATTGAATCCCCACCCAGGGGCAGGCAGCCCAAATCCATGCCAGCCACTTTCTCCAACTCTGCAATCCTCCAGAGAGGCCCGGCCAGGCCTTCACACATCTCTGCACACTGTGTCCGTTCCTGCTCACTTGTGCACACATGCACATGTGGACACACACACACACACTTCACACATCTCTGCATATTGTGCTCATTCCTGCACACACACACAGAAGAATCCCTTCACTTCCTCCTCTCCCGGCACTGCCCGTCTGTTCAGCTCTACCTGGAGGACCTGCTCTGGAAGCCCAGCTCTGCTGCTGAGGCCTGCCCTGTTTCCTCTCTTAGTTTATAAACCTCCTGCCATCCATCTCTTTCATTTGAGTGGTTAATAATACGTTGTAAATTGTTCCCTAAGCTGTCCCATGCGTTTTATCACTGCAGCTGGGCTGCAATCTCCTGAAATCAGAGGCTCCGCCTTGCATCGCGCTTGTATCTGCACAGACCTTGGCTGTGAGCACAGGCCGATGAGCAGAGGTTAATCTCCCCACACAGACACACGACTATGATCAGGCATTTTTCTACCTCCGAAGGTCTGGCCTTGGGATCGGGGAGGGAGCTTGCTTTCTTTCCTTCCTTTTTCCAGGGGAAGACCCTCCGTAAGAAGAGCTCTTCTGGGTCTCCTGCCCTTCGCCCGCCCTGGGTCATCTGACTGGCAGGTCTAGATCTGGAAGACGTTGGGAGAATCAGCTCTGGCTTTCTCTAACTATGGGAGCCGCTGCCTGCCGGAAGCAAGCGTGTAGCGGTGCCTCTCTGTGCAGTGATTCTTAGAGGCAGAACCTGCTGGGCTGTTGGTCACTGCAGCCAATGTGCTGTGATTTTGCAAGTAAATTGTCTTTTCTTTTTCCTTTTTTTTTTTTTTTTTTTTTTTTTTTTTTTTTTTTTTTGAGACGGAGTCTCGCTCTGTCGCCCAGGCTGGACTGCAGTGGTGCAATCTCGGCTCACTGCAAGCTCCGCCTCCCGGGTTCACGCCATTCTCCTGCCTCAGCCTCCCGAGTAGCTGGGACTACAGGCGCCCGCCACCACGCCCGGCTAATTTTTGTATTTTTAGTGGAGACGGGGTTTCACCATGTTAGCCAGGATGGTCTCGATCTCCTGACCGCATGATCCACCCTCCTCGGCCTCCCAAAGTGCTGGGATTACAGGCGTGAGCCACCGAACCCGGCCACAGTAAGTCTTTTTAATTTGGAGGTGAAGTATGAAGACACCCACTTGGCCAACAATCCACATTTTCCCACAGCTTTATCCGTATAAAAATGATATTTTGCTCTGTATCTTCCCGACTCTTGTCTGCTTCTCAAGCATTTCTTAAATGAGGGTAGAGAAAAGAGAGCTGTTGTTAACTGGGGCCTTCAGACCCGTGAGACAGCGGCCCCCGGCCCCCGGCGCGCCTCTCGGGCCACGTGGCTGCTCTGCCACGGCACCCGCAGTCCTGAGGGCCGCTAGGCCAGGACAGTGCCCACGCCCAGCCTCACCTCCTACAGGGAACAGGAACTGAAGTTGTCTGTGGCTGCCCCCAAAGGTAAGAACAGGACTTGGGAAAGCCTTGGCAGTTCTTGGAGTGCTCAGGCAGGAAGTTTCTCCCTAAGCTAGGAAGTGGGGGCTCTCCAGCTCTCACAGGTCCCCTCATTCTCCAAAGGATCCCACAGGCCAGCGAACGGTGCTCTCCTTCCAAGCTCTCGGGTCTCTGCTCCCAGCACACCGGCCAGCTCATGCCAGGGAATTCTCCAGGCAGCACAACCCATTGTGCCAGTGAGCGCCAGTGTCCTGGGAGGGTGATGTGAAGACCGCATCTCACAGCAGCCTGACCCTGCCTGTTCAGCACTCCCCCTGGGCACTTAAGCATCAGGAGACAGGGGAGAAAATGTAAAGGAAAACTAAGGCTCCAAGAGTGGAAACCCTGACACAAACGAGTTCCGGGAAAGCTTATTTGTATATATATTTTCCCCTAAATTAGTACCTGATTTTTCCTTATTCTAGAGAAGGAATCCTAGAAACATCTCCAAGAATAGGGGTGATTATTTTAAAGAAAACCGTGCAGGAAATTGAAAACGATCACATTTAACGTTGGAAACTGACGGCTCTTGCACACATTTTGATTCTCATCGCTTAAGAATTTCCCCTGCATATTTTGTCTAAATAAAGCACACACTGGTGTGATCAACCATTCCAGTGAGGAGGAGCACTTAGGGTTTTTCACGTGAAGAGTAAGCGTTTCAACATGTTTTTAAATGCATAATTTTCTGGCTGGTAAATAATCTACATTTTTTTTGTATGTCCCTACAATAGTTTGCATAATCCACCTTTTTAAAATTTTGTAAATATGCATTTACATGATAAAGTGTGATTAGACTACAGTGCCTACTCATGCATTGCTTATGTTTTCCTTAACAAAAAAAGCACAAGAAAAACAAAGGGAATTTACATAATTTTCATTTCCCATTTGTGCATTTTAACTTAATCAACATATTTATTCTGAAATATAGTCAGCTGATGCCACACCAAAAAAAAAAAAAAAAAGCACAATCGTCTATGGAACAAAAATAAATAAATACAGTTGATTTCAACTCTTCAATCATGTCCTCAATTTGGTAACGAAAGCTTTTATGAGGAAAGCCCTTGTCCTTTCGTTAAAGAAGGTCATATCCAAAAGTTTTATATTATTGGCGTTTAATGTCATGATTGTTTATATTTCTGTAGTTTCGTAATTATTATTGATCTCATAATGATAATTAAGAAGTAGCAAATAAGCAAAAATGGGTTAAGCAAGTGTCTCAACATTGCTATTGCTCACAATTAGAGCTAGTGTATTTCTAGATAGAGAAGAAGTCCAAAGAGGTAACAATGAGAGTCGAAAATACCCTGGTTTCCGCTTGGGAAAATTACTGCTTTCTCTTATGTGAAGTCTAACTGAATACTCAACAGGCAGGCAACCCTCACCTAGCCTAGGAGGGAAGGCAGGCTCATGGACCCAAGCAAGTCCAAGTGGAAGCCTTCTCCCTGTCACTAGGATTCTTGGGGGCAGAGAAACAGGGAGAAGGACAATTAGTAGTGGTTCCTTTGAAGTCCACTTCATTGTTCATTGTTCTGCATCCTGAAGTCCACTGACTTCAAGTTCATTAACTCCTGGAGGAGACCATCCCTACTGCCGCACCATCCACAAGCTTTCTACTCACTTTCATACCAGATCTCCTACCACGTTTTCCATCCCCGATTCCTCCCCATTTGCTCAAGTTATCCTGAGTTGGGCTCTGGAATTTTCAAGCAACAGACCTCTGCTGAGCTGTCCCAGCTCTTCCCCAGCCCCTCTGTTATTGGAAATGACTGCTTTGACTTGGATCAATTCGCTGGTGTCGTTTGCCTCCACCGTCTTTCTCATGCCCTGTGATTAGGGTGACCACACACCCCCTGGATGCACCTGCGGCCCCTGCGTATGGTTTCTGTCTCAAAGCCTCTCAGGTATGACAGTAAACTCTACGTTCCCTGCGTGAGCAGAAGCCAGGTGTCTCCTTTCAACAACGGTTGGGTCCTCATGGCTGGGTTATCTTGGCCACCAGAGGGCGACGCAGTGAAGTGTGAACGGGATTCCAGCCCTGCATTCAGTCACTACACGATGACCATGCTACTCCAGATGATACCCATGCTGCTTCGATGTGCCAGGCAACCTTCTAGACACTGGAAATGCAAAGACGAATGAGACACACGTCTTCTTTACCCCCCAGGAGCCCAGGATCCAGTGGTGGTGTAAACAGAGGACAGCACGGCACAAGTGCTATGGAGGAGCCAGGATGGAGTGACACGGGGATGCTGTGCATAAGAGAGGGATGAAAAGGAGGGCTGGGATCAGGACAACAGGGAGAGTTCTTAGAGGAGGTGGCTCCAGAGGAAGGGGTCAGATTGTGCCAATGACCCCAGGTCAGCAGGGAAGAGCTAGCAGTGGACATTGCAATGCTGGGGATATTGCTCCAGTCCTTCAGCCTCTAGACAGTAACATGGAGGAAGTGACTGCCCGGGTCTGTTCTGTATCTTCATAGAACAAGCAACAGATGGAGTCCATAGTTTACCATGCTAAAGGGAATCCCGTTTGGTGATGGATAAGTTGAAGTAAAATAAGAGTAAGTGTCAAAAAGAGGTTGGACAGGCAGAGGTGCTTCCAAGACACTGCTGGGCATCACAGAGCCCTAGCAAGGGGGTCTATGCCCCCCAGCTTCCTGCCCAGCCTGCCTCATTATATGCTGGAGGGTAAAATCCATTTTCCCAAAGAGATAAAAAGAACGACGGAATTGACCAAAACATATACAAACATGAAATCCGCTACAAAAATTGCAAGATATAAGTCAAAGTTCCATTGGTTCTGAAACTGTAAGACCCACAGGTCTTATCATAGATAATTATTTTAAAGTGTTGTTAGATGATCATTCACCCCTATGGAAAGACAATTTGCTGTTGCACGGGACTGTGCCTCTCCCAACACCATCTCACTTGTCCCCACATGCTCCCCTTTTGTTGGGAAGGTTGGCCGAGATATCACCTCCTGCTTCAGAGAATATGAGTGTCTGTGCCCTAAATGACATAGTCTTCATTGTCTAAAAATGAGCTATTTACTCCATTCTTGTTCATTGATTCTTAATCCAATATCCCATCATCGGGTAGATATTTTTTTGCAAGGAATAATGGCCACTATTTATTGATCACATACACTGTGGCAGGCAAAACATATACATTATCATCAATCTTAAAATGGTGCCATTATCAACATTTTACAGGGAGGCTCAGAGAGATGAGATGTGTTGGCCAAGTTTACAGGGGCGGAAAGTAAAGAATTTGGGTTTAAACCAGATCTTCCTGTCCCCAAATTCATTGTTTTCCAACAAAATACGGGCGAATGTAGACAGAGTGAAATAGAAAGCTTGCAGTTTACCAATATCTGTGGGTCAAGCAGAACAGAGGAGCAGCCCCTTCTATGAAGGTTTGTTACATCTCATCAGAATTAAAAATGTTTTAAGATGTCATTTAAATTTACAGCACACCTGTGTTCATGACACAAGTGAGAATATTTCAGGATGAGTAGGCTCTCCACAAAAAACTTGACATTATATTTATGTGCTGATTTTTCAAAATAAATTATCATAAATGTGAGGCTTAGGATACATAGACGAGATATGGCTGTAAGACAATCCATCTCTTGATTTAGCAAATAAATTGGATTTCTTTCTAGTCATCTCAATATTTAAGGTCAAGGAGATGAATTTCACATGGTGTCCTGATCATTAATAAATCCCGGCTTGTTCTCATGTGATGCTGTTTTGGACTTAATTAGATCCATGCACCTCTCCCTGCAATACAGAACACAAAGACAAGAGTGCCCATTTTCCCAAATTATATGGTTGCATTATTTCAAACTATGAATATCCCAAACAGCCTACTGATTATTTTGCCAAATTTATTATTAGAAAGAACCACCCTAAATAAAAACCCCAAAATCAAACAATTTTATCTTTATAAGTTGATCCATTTTTGAAAGGAGGCTGTTAGTTTTACAAAAGTGCTGTGCATTCATTACAACCATCCAAATCATATCAAAAATTACCGGGGAGAAAATGTCGCCACTCCCACCTCCACCACCATAGGTAAGGGCCATGATGATTTTTGCTGGCCATCTCTCTCGTTAGCTCTGTGGATAATTAACCCCGTGTAGGCTCAGGGGCAGCATTGCATGTGGTGTTACACAGCATGCTCCATTTCCCACGCTGTGTGCCGTGGGCTCCTGTCTACACACTGGGGAAGAGCCGAAGAACTCTCTAGGGAGAATCCTGCACCCACCGGGTTGAGGTGCTCTCTGCACTTGCCTCACTGCAGGTGAGAGTCACCTTCTGTTCTTATTTCGTAAGATCCAAGCCTCTCCTTCATGCACATGGCCTGTTCAGGCCCTCAGCACCCAGGAATGGGCATGGACACTCACCTTCACCTGCTTGGCTGAGCATAAAACCTGCCCGATTGTCTCATACAACTGAGGTGTATGGTTTCTTTTCAAGGAACATAAAAATGGACCCTCCTAGTCTCAAAACTTGAGAAATGGAGATTTGTCTTACCTGAGTCTCTCTCTCAGGACACCAGCCATCAGTCCTCCCAGATGGTGTCAAGGAGCTCAAACTCACCAGGTCCCCACATCTGTCAATGAGAGGCCAGAGGCCTCGCCCTCCATGACTGCCTAACCACCCATCTGCTGCCTGTTGATCAATTCCTCTTCCTCACCCCTCCCTGGCTCCCATTTTCCCACACATGGTTACATTTCTTCCCTGCCAGAGAAAACCCTAATGTTACTCCACCGGGGAGATGGATTTGAGACTGATCTCTTATCTCCTCAGCTGCAGCACCCAATAAAGCCTTCTTCCCTGGCAGTAGTAGCCTCAGTGATTGGCTTTCTGTGCCACTGTGAGCTGCGGGACCTAGACCTAACCCCTGGTGTTTTGGTAACGAGGATTAAAGGATATGAGGGCCTACACCTGGTGTCCAGCCTGGAGAGCACTGTGCTGAGCCCTGGCAGCTGTGGCTGGTGGCTTTGTCTTTGGTGTGGTGGATGCAGTGGTGTACAGGATGCTTGGTGTGAGAAGGGCCCTCTGTGCCCCACAGCCTCTCCTGCCTGGACATCATCATGGCATTTCTGTGACATCACTCACAGAGCTCTCCTTAGGAGCCACAGGAGAAATTTCTGTCTAGCCATAGTTGTACTTCTTCAGAATGAATGGTTAACAGTTATAGTTTTTATTTCATTGACTGTTTGAACCATCCAACCAAAAACATGATGACTACATGGAATCAGGACATATTCTTTTTGCTACAAGTTAATGATCAACCCAGTTCAAATCAGCTCTGATAATGAGGGGTTTTCTCCAAGAGTCAAGGTGCCTCTAAATGTGGCCAGCTGGCCTCTCACTTCCCTTCTCTTCCTGTATTCCTTGGTTCCACCATCAAGCCTGTGACTCCAGAGCTGAGGAAGCTCTGGGAGTCACACCTAGACAATGCAAAATCCAGGGAGAATGTCTTCTGTCCCTTCCAGGCTTTTCATCTTAGGATCCTTCATTTCCTGGGGCTGCTTGTCCAGTTACTGGGGTGGACATGGTGTCACCCATCTTGGTTCACAACAACCAGGGAAAAGGTTTGCCCTCCCTGAGTTACAAGTGAGAGACACAGGAACAAGGCCCAGGCTCTGCAAGACAAGGAAGGAGGATGGGACTGAAGGAGGCCAGCCACACCCCTGGGCCACTGTTGTCTCCGGGCAAGTGTGCGGCTCAGGAAGATGCTCTTCCAGCCTCATCCCTCATGCTCACTCCTGGTACCCACTCCTGCTCCTGTCATCCTCCTCTTGAGTAATCATTGTATGTTATGCGTTCTTGTAGGTTTCTCTGCATCCTTCCAGAATCATTCAAAGAATCACTCATGCACCCACGTATTATATGTGAGTGCCTGAGCACACCCATTGTTTTGGCTTTCAGTTACATGGCAGCTTCACATACACCATTTCCTTTGACTTACACAATAGCCCCATGAGGTGAGTGGAGTATGTACAATATAATTTTTAAAGTCAGGTGTGCAAAGTAAGCCAGGACAGTGTAAGACGTGATGAGTACACCAGCTGACACATTGCCGACTTCTAATGTGCCCCCAAGGTCTTCGGCCATGATTCTGGTGTGTGTGTGTTCCTCCCGCCCTTCCTCATATATGGAAGAACGTTCCAGTGCGTGGCAGGCAGAAACATCACAGATTTGGAAGTCTGAAACATTTGGAATGCCCTTAACATTAGAAAACAAATGATTTAAACATAAGAACATAAATCACACATCCGATTTGGTATCCTGGCAAAAATTACTGAAACTATAGGGATGCATTGGAGCTATAAGTTATAAAAAATTCAAAAGTCTTCATGTAAACCTATAGTAGTGCTTAAAAATATGAAGAGTGGTAGTAACCAGAAATAGTCCTGGTGACAGAAAAACATTCCTGATGATGGAAAAGTGTTCGGCTTTCCTGTGTCCCCTTCTCAGCCTCTATGAAACCAACTGGAAAATGACTTTCAGCCCGAAGCCAATCCCTAGACTGAAAATCAAGTAAGCACAATTCCATAGGCTCAAACATTTCACAACTTCAGATGTTAATTTAGGTCAGGTGTGGTGGTTCACTCCTGTAATCCCAGCACTTTGGGAGGCCAAGGTGGCGAGGCCCACCTGAAATCAAGAGTTCAAGACCAGCCTGGCCAACATGGTGAAACCTCATCTCTACTAAAAACACAAAACTTAGCCGGGAGTGGTGGCAGGTGCCTGTAATCCCAGCTACTCGGGAGGCTGAGGCTGGAGAATCACTTGAACCCTGTAGGCAGAGGTTGCAGTGAGACAAGATTGTGCCACTGCATTTCAGCCTGGGCGACAGAGCAAAAACTCCTCAAATAAAACAAAAACAACAGCAACAACAAAAAGAAGTTAATTTAGTTACCTGAAATCGCCTACACACACACACACACACACACACACACACACAGCAGCAAATCAGTGACATCTGAGCCAATTTCCTCTGAACTCAGAACCGGGGTGAGAATTATAACTTTTTGGTAGCTGTAACTTTAGCCGAATCTTTTCACAGAAAAAGAATGAAATGATATATGTCACTATTTCAATATATTTTCCTATCAATTCCATCACAATGAAAGAGAAAAGATGGCATTTTTTTTTAAAAGAAAAAGAATACTGGGAATAGATGAAGCCTATCAAATAATGAATTCTGGTCTACTCATGCCTTCCCACCACTTCCAGTGATAGCTCTTCTCTGCTCTTGGAGACGGCATTAATGCAATCAACATAATTTCATCACTTTCATTTTTCATACTCTTAGCCTCTGCTGAAAGGCATTGAAAGTATTTTGAAAGGTTGAGAACTTCTTTGAAAACCTTTTCCAGTTACAAATCAGAAAAAAAGGTTTCCATTGATAATGCCTTTCCTTGCCTTGTAAATATGATCTGCCACATAGGCAGCATTTTTTTTCCTGTAACTCTGAGTTATGATTTATTTCATTTTTCTTTTTTTTTTTTTTTTTTTGGTAGAGATCAGGGACATAGGCCTAACCATTGTGAAGTCTGTTGACCTAATTAAGATGATCAATTTCCACGTCAGGAAAGATAGGTCAGGGAACACAGCGCAGTGTTTAAACTCATGGACTCTGAAGCCAGACAGGTCAGGCTCTCATCTTTCTCACCCATTAGTAGCTCTGCGACCTTGGACAGTTACTTAACCACTCTGTGCCCCAGTTCATTTTCAAGTCGTGGTAATAAGGGCACCAGCTGCACAGGGCTGCAGTGAGGGATGAGTGCACTAATGCCCAGAGAGCTTAGGTCTAGTCCTAGCTTAGAGTAAGCGTGAACCAGATGCCGTCTGTGAACCAGGAAACAGGTCCTCACTAGACATCAAATCTGCCAGGGCCTTGGTCTTGAACTTCCAGCCTCCAAAACAGTGAGAAACAAATGTCTGCAGTTGATAACCCTCCAGCTTATGGTATTTTGTTATAGCAGCCGGAGCAGATTAAGGTGGTCACAGTCCTCTTCCTGCAACGATCCCGATGGGCTGGGAATGAGAGGGCCCTGCGCTGTGATGCTCTTGTGGAGCCTGCACTCTTCCCCACTCTCATCTACTCACTGTGTCCTCACATGGCGGAAGGGGTGAGGGGGCTCTCCAGGGTCTCTCAAATAAGGGCATTAATTAATCCCATTCATGGGAGCTCCATGCTTGTGACCTAATCACCTTCCAAGTCCTCACCTCCTAACACCATCACCTTGGGGGTTGGGTTTCAACATATAAGTTTCAGGGGGACACGAATATTCAGACCATAGCAGTTCCCCTGGATTTGTGGACCAGAAAATCAGTAATGATGGAGAAACCCAGCTGACCATTTTCAGATGGGAAACATTTACTTGATAATTGCTCGACTTTCCCCAAGGAAAGGATGGGCCTATTTGAAAGATTGTTTCTATCTTCCGTCCTTATGTGTCCCTCATGGTCTAGTAAGTAGGGCCTTACACTTAAAAGATAATCAGTAAAATACATAAATAACAAAATACATAAATAAACAATCCGATGCAGAGATAATCACCTCTGCCCTGGAAATGCAGTTGTCTGCTATTGGTTCTTTCTATCGCATCCTCAATCTCCGCTGAGAGGCAGACTCTGGCACGAGAACTGGTCCACATCACCTGGATGATCCCAATTCAATGTGGTCAAGAAAAGCAAAGCTCTTGTCAGGTCACCAGGTCATAACACAATGAATCGAGAGGAGACAAAAATCCACTGAAAGAGTTGAAGATGAGCTCTATGGAAGTTTTTATTTTAATGAAATCACAAACCTGACATAAATTCTAACTATTCCCCACTCCATTTCCGTGTTTCTAGCAGCCTGGACAAAAAAAGAGAGGGAGAGAGAGAGAGAGAAAAAACCATTTCACTCCCACATGAAAGACTCAAATTATAAAATAAGAGTTCAAAGAAAATAACTTCAAGAAGAAATCATAGAATATTTGCTTCATTTGCTATAATAGTTAGTTAAAACATGGAAATACCTGTTATTAAAACAGAAGTATTTTGGGATGAGGACCTACATAGGCTCAAGGGAATTTCAAAATTAGTCACCAAAGAAACATCTATATTGGAGCAATGAGAAATAAATGATGCTTAATTAACAATACCCCGGACCAACTATCCTGTTCAATAAAGCATTCCAGATTAATACTGATGGCATTCTGAGAATTAAAATTCTGAGTTCAATGGGGTATTTAAATATACAGCATAATACATTTTCATACAATACACAATAAAGATATAAAGATGTTAACTTATTTTTAAACATTTCACAGAAAGAAGATTTCAGAATATAACACAGTATTTTGTTCTAGCATGCAATCTCTGCCTTCTTTTTTGTAACCCTGAGAAGCAAACAGACACACATACAGACATATGTACTTGGTGAGTGAATGTTCCCTGCTCAGACTGTGTTATCAAGGGAAAATATAATTAATCTCAGGAAATTTTGATCCAATAGCTCAGAAAAGATTTACAGATATCCTCAAATTCTGAGATATTGTAATAACTTACCATAGTTGGAAATTAATATGCACAGGTCATCAATGTGTCCTGACTGAAGATTTATGTTGAGAAATATAAACAATAAAAAAGAATGTTCACAATGTGAATGGCTTCATGATTCACCTCTGTAAAATACATATTCTAAGACTTTCTCAAACATTTTGAACCAACCTAAAACGTATTTCTCTCTTAAGCACCGTAAGAGATACTCTCTATATGAAGATTAATCCTTTCAATGTATAAAGGGATTTTATTAAGCAGAGCCAGCCCAGCAGGCCAACAAACCCAGCAGAGGTCCCAAATATTAATACACGAATCTAACCAAAAAGGGAAAACAGAAAACTGAGTTGGCAAATATCCAGATAACTCCGTGTAAATTCTGTATATCTAGATGAGCAGGTCTAGATGTGAGCAGCACTAGTATTTCAGACACGATGGCCTCCACGGCCTCATCTTCACTGCAGCCATTTTCAGCTTAGTTACTAAAATAATCTTGCTTATCAAGTTGAACAAGATAATATAAGAGGCCAGGCATGGTGGCTCACGCCTGTAATCCCAGCACTTTGGGAAGCTGAGGTGGGCAGATCACCTAAGGTCAGGAGTTCGAGACCAGCCTGGCCAACATGGTGTAACCCCATCTTTACTGCAAATACAAAAAATTAGCTGAGCGTAGTGGCCAGCACCTGTCATCCCAGCTACTCAGGAGGCTGAAGAAGGAGGATTGCTTGAACTCGGGAGGCGGAGGTTGCAGTGAGCCAAAATCATGCCACTGCACTCCAGCCTGTGCCACAGAGCGAGACTCCATCTCAAAAAAAGAATAAAAAGAAGGAAAGAAAGAAGGAAAGAAAGAAAGAAAGAAAGAAAGAAAGAAAGAAAGAAAGAAAGAAAGAAAGAAAGAAAGAAAGAAAGAAAAGATAATATAAGGTAATGCAAGAGATCAGCAATTATTACATGTAACTTATTTTAAGTTCCGGGGTACATGTGCAGGATGTGCAGGTTTGTTATATAGGGTACATGTGCAGGATGTGCAGGTTTGTTATATAGGGTACATGTGCAGGATGTGCAGGTTTGTTATATAGGTAAACGTGTGCCATGATGGTTTGCTGCACCTATCAACCCACCACCTAGGTATTAAGCCCAGCTTGCATTGGCTATTTATAATAATGGGTTAAAGTTTATAATGGGGTATTTATTTTTCAGGAAATTTGCCTATTTCACTTAGTTATAAACAAATTCACCAGATAGGAACCGCTAATAAGAAGCTGAGTAAATGTGAATGTCAGAAGTAATCTCCTGTAAGCACTAACAGAGAGAGAAGACCATGTCTTGGTCAGAGTGAAATATCAAAACAAATTTAATCCTTACCTTTATTGAAGGGGAGACCACATGACAATAAAAACTTCCACAGCAAGTTCCTCTACTTCATTTTTGTTTTTATTTTAAATTCTGGCGTACATGTGCACAATGTGCAGGTTTGTTATATGGGTAAACGTGTGCCATGGTGGTTTCCTGCACCTATCAACCCATCACCTAAGTAGTAAGCCCAGTATGTGTTAGCTATTTATCTTGATGCTCTCCCTTCCCCCACCCCTCCACCCCCCTTACAGCCCCGGTGTGTGTGATTCCCCTCCCTGTATCTATGTGTTCTCATTGTTCAGCTCCTACTTATAAGTGCCCATGAATGATAAGCTGGATAAAGAAAATATGGTACAAACACACTGTGGAATACTATGCAGCCATAAAAAGGAAAAAGATCATGTCTTTTACAGGGGCATGGATGGAACTGGAGGCCATTATCCTCAGCAAACTAACACGCCAACAGAAGTTCCTCTACATTTTAAAGCAGGATGGAAATGTCGTTCCCCTTTCCCTTTTAAACCCCTCCTCAAGTACAGACTTGGAGTAATTTAGAGGTGAGCCGGAGGTCATTCCTGACAAGGAAAATCCCTTCCCAGCAAAACTTGCTGGAATCAGAGATGGAAGGGAGAGGGGTTTTTCTTTTCTGTTTTTTTTTTTTTTTTTTCATCCATGGTTTAAAAATATGCTGAAGGCAGAAAGTTGTATAAATAAATATTGCCTTCTATAAAGTTATTTATTTTACTTATTTAGGAGACAACACCCTTTTCATAAGTACATCTCTCATGGTTGTATCAATGACTCTTAGAAACCCAGTGTGCACATTTTACAATACCACGTATGCAAAAGTCACAGACAAGATCAAGGAGCTGATGATCGTAGGAGTCAGGAGAGAGATCTCCTTGAGCGCCTGGTGACCGGTGAAGCAAAGGGTCCACGGAACACCCTGTTTTATATCTGGGACTCGGCTTCACCAGTGAACTTACCTGCTGAGAATTTAGCAAGCTGTATACTTAATGATTTTTGTGTTTTTATGTATGTGAGTTATATTTTAATTTTTAAAATGCACCTAAATATGTTAAACAAATTTTAGCATCCTCTAAAACTACTTTTTTGTTTGTTTGTTTGTTTGTTTGAGACAGAGTCTGACTCTGTCGCCCAGGCTGGAGTGCAGTGGCGCGATCTCAGCTCACTGCAAGCTCTGCCTCCTGGGTTCATGCCATTCTCCTGCCCCAGCCTCCCAAGCAGCTGGGACTACAGGCACCCGCCACCACACCCGGCTATTTTTTTTGTATTTTTTAGTAGAGACGGGGTTTTACTGTGTTAGCCAGGATGGTTTCGATCTCCTGACCTCGTGATCTGCCCGCCTCGGCCCCCCCAAAGTGCTGGGATTTCAGGAGTGAGCCACCACGCCCGGCATAAAACTACTTTTTAGCTGATAAGATTTGTATGTAATTAACTGAAATTAAGGAGTCAAGAGGAACTTGCTGTATTACTTAATCACAGTGTCACTTTGCATGTTTGCTCCAAATTAACCTCAGGGCCTTGGTTTCTGTGGAATCCCGGGACACTGGGGGGCAATTGTGGCTCATTCACTGTGGCTCATTCATTCATTGTTGATTGTTCATTAAGGTCCACTTAGCCAGGCAGCAAGACCCCCCAAGAAATACCCCTGGTAGCTGGTGCCCAAGGACCCTAAAAGCCACCATAGACCCTACATTTATTTAAAGTCTCATGATACCAGCTTTAGAAATTTTGAAAACGTGTATTCTAATATGCAATGTGCTCATTTGTTTTCAATTTATTTTTAAGATTCTCAAATTTCTGGTAAAATGTAGGAGTTCGTTTTGGGACTGCCAGTACCTTGGCCTTCTGCCACTTGTAAACCATGGATATGGATTTGATGTGTATCTGGACTCACAAGCTTCCTGGAAAAAATGTACATATGTATAAATACATATATGCACAAATATATATGATGGTTTCTAACACGGATTCTTGAGGTGTTGCATGATTTTATTTGTAGCTGCACAATTTGCTCTCCTCTTTATTGACAATCCCAACCTTTCTCATCCACAACATCAGAACTTAGTGTTCACAAACATTAACCATGTGCATGGCAGGTGAAAAGCACCCACTACGACCAAAGGGCATGGCAGGTCCAGAGGAAGAACTGTGACGTGAGATCAAAGATGCACCACCACACAGCCCCTACTGTCACAGTTGCCTGCGTTGTGCACTGATACAATACAGGAAGGGGAATGGCATGAGAGTGCCATGGGGAAGGGTCCACACTCCACAAGAACATCACGGTGCAGGGGCCTCTAATTCACAACCCAACGGGATAGTTGTAGGTAAAGGACAGGCCCCATCTGAGTGTACTCTGGCTGCTATTATAGAATACCATAAGCTGGGAGGCTTATTAACTACAGAAATTTATTTCTCACTGTTCTGGAGGCTGGAAGTTCAAGATCAACGTCCTGGCAGATTCGGTGTCTGGTGAGGACCTGCTTCCTGGTTCACAGATGGCATCTACTCGTCTACTCACTGTGTCCTCACATGGTGGAAGCGGTGAGGGAGCTCTCCAGGGTCTCTTTACTGAGGGCACTAATCTCACTAATGGAAGCTCCATGCTCATGACCTAATCACCTTTGAAGTCCCCACTTCCTAAAACCATCACTTTGGGGGTGGGGTTTCAATTTATGAATTTGGGGAGACACAAATATTCAGACCATAGCAGTCCCCTGGATCTGTGGACCAGAGAATCAGCAACGATGGAGCAAGCACCTGACCGTTTCAGATGGGAAACACTTACTTGATAATTGCTCGAAGTTCCCCAAGGAAAGGATGGGCCTATTTGATGGATTGATTCTATCTCTTGTTCTTATATGTCCCCCATGGTCTAGTAAGTAGGGCCTTACACTTAAGAGATTATCAGTAAATGATCACTGCATGGAACTGAATTACATTTCATCACTTCCGAATGATCTCATGAGGTCCCTTAAGCAATTTTGCATTTTTATTATTACTCTTATGATGTTCTGTTTGCTTATGCATAAAAACTTTTCTTACGGGTTAGATAAAAGTTCCTCCTCTTCTCGGCCCCATCATAAAATCAAGAGTTTCATTTCTGCCTTCACAGAGTCATCATCATTCTCTAAAGTTAACTGTATGTGTCTTTTTCTGCAGACGACTTGACTGAAAAAGCAATTAAGGTAGAATCAGTTCTTAATGGGAGGCAAACCCTTCCCCTGCTTATGTGTGTCTTGCACTAATATTATGGGATCTCTGTCAACAATGATATCATTAATATGTATTGTGTTCCTGTCATTTTTCTCTTTTCCTCGTTTTTTTTAAAGCCAGAGTTAACTTTTTAAAAATTTTTTTAAAAGCGTATACCTGAGTTTTTGTCTGATTATCATTAAATTTAGCATGCTTTAAAACTGGTGCAAGTGACACTTGCATACACACACGTACATATTTGCATTTTCATGCAGGACAAATGGGGAGGACTGCACAGTCCATTAAGCACGCAGTTCAGGTTGTAAGTGGAACCCTGAGGGGCTCTGGCTCAGGAGCAGCAGTTGATGTAATTTGCTTCTGAGGCCAAACTGCAGGTTTGGCAAAGTCTGCTCATTAAGTACCCTGTGAATTTACCAAAACAAACAGACAAGCTAGTCAAGCATTGGCAATGATTATAATACTGATATTTTAAAAGAAAGAAAGCTCTTCTATTCCATCACAATGTGATTTTTTAAAATATCCAATATTAAAGAATGTGTAATCTTTAGCTTAACAGCTACAGCTATTAAATGCTTAATAAATGCTCTCTGTCACTCAGTTTTTCTTACCATTAAAAAGGGAATAATAGCAGTACCAACTTTATATGGTTATTATAAGATCAAAAATGAGTTACTATGCATTGGGAAATTAGAACAGTGCCTGGTACGGAGTAGTACTTAATGACTGTTTGCTTTTATTGCCTGCCTCAACAGACTGAGAATTTTATAAAAGCTGTGATAGTTTTCTGTTTGTAAATGACATTTTCCTTAAAAAAATACTAAATAAATGAATAATTTTAGTATATAAGGGCTATATACTAAATAAAGGAATAAAAAAGTAAGTAAATTAATAAAAGATAGAATACAATCTGCTAAATAGAAAAATATTTTCATAAGGCAGACCTAATATTCATATCTTCATGTGAGTTTTTTATACAAGTAATTTTTGTGTTGGGAGAATTAACCTGTAATTGATCAAATCCACCCATTCCCCAGTGTCACTGCAAAATAATCCACAAACTCAAAACCTTTTAAATATCACATTTCAACAAACACTGAGTGTTTGTTGAAGTCAAGCTGTTAGATAAATCATTAAAAAATGCCTCGTTGAAGAAGTAACCCCATATTCTTTGGGATATGCTATTTGTAGCTATGATTGTTTTAACTGCAAGAATCTATGAGATAGGGAAAAAAGAGGAAATGTTACTGCTATTAACAAATAATTATATGGCTTTTTAAAATGAATATATGCATTGTATTTACATATGAATTCCATCAAAATAATCTGGGGACACATAAAAAGTCAAAGAAAGTACTGAGATGGCTGAGTCACATCTTCATGCTGCTTTTCAACTCAATTTAGTTCTGTACTGGAGGAAATAACCAATAAGTGATAAAATTAACACATTTTCCAATGTCCTTTTAGTTTGAATATGAAATATTAAATTTAATTAACTTGTTGAAAAATAACCATAAGGCCATAATATTAAATTTTACATATTAGAATTATATGTCCAAATGACTAACTAAAATATTATTAGTGCTACTACAGGACCTATTTATTCTATAGCTTTGGGCCCAGTTGACCAAAACACATAATGAATCTGGAACTGTGCCAATTAGTTGTTACTCAACAAATACTTGATTGATAAATGGTTAAATTTCTAATGTGAAAAGTCGCTTCTACTTATCCCCCTGGGAACACACTGGGTGTGTTTTTACTTAGATATAAAAGGAGTGGTTTCTGTAGCCTAATTCAAATTTAAAAGTTTGGAAAAAACTGCATAAACATAAAAGAAAGAAAGAAATTCAAAACAAGCAGAAAGAAGATAATAAAAATAAGAGCAGAAACCACTGAAATTGAAAATAACAAAATAATCGAGAAAAATCATTAAAACCAAATGGTTATTCTTAAAAAAAAACTCATAAAACTCTAGAAAGACAAAGACAAAAAGACAGAAAATGCAAATCACTAATATTAGTAAAAATAAAATATCCCACAGACCCTGCAGCCAGCCCTTAAAAAGATAAGAAAGGAATGTAACAAAAAGTTTTACACTTACAAATTTGGCAACTTAGGAGAAATAAGCTAACTGCTTGAAAACAATAGACTCCCCAAACTCAACCTGAAAGAGAGCACCTGAATAGTCCTATAACCACTAACGAAGTTTTATTTGTAATTACAATATTCCTAGTAAATCTCAGATCCAGATGGCATCACTGAAAATTTTTTACCAAATATTTAAATAAGAGTTTACACTACTCTTAGAAAATCTCTTCCAGAGAATACAGAGGACCGCATTCTGGTTTGTTTTGTTTGTTTGCTTGTTTGTTTTTATATTCAAATTGCTGTGATCTGAAAGAAGAGCTCTCTTCACAATTCACTTTATGAGGTCGGCATTTTCTTGATAATAAAAATAGGGAAAGATGGTACCAAAAAAAGAAAAAATCCCCCTACAGACCAATATCATTCATGAGCTGAGATACAAAACTCCTCCACAGAATACTAACAAATCAAACCCAGAAACGTACAGCAAGAATTACACACCATGACCAAGTAGGGTGTATTCCAGGAATGCACGGCTCACTCAACATTTGAAATCCATTAATGTAATTCACCTGTCAACAGGTCAAAAAGAAGAAAGACCACATGATCACATCAGTTAATATGCACATACACAAATGGCAAAATCTAACATCCATTCGTGATAACGAATAACTCCCAGGAAGTTAGGAATAGATGGGAACTACTGAAATTCCATAAAGAGTGATTTAAAAATACCTACAGCTAACACCATGGTTACCAAAAGAGTGAACTCCTTCCCCCAATATCAGGCACAAGGCAAGGACATCCATGTTCACCCTTTGTGATTCAACATCATACAGGAAGTTTGGCTACCACAGTAGAGTAAGAAGACAAAAATAAAATGTGTACCTAAGAAAAGGAAGAAACTAAGTGTTCCTATTTGCAGGTGGCATGACTGCTTATGCAGAACATCCCGGGGAATCTTTGAAAAAGAAAAACTATTTTAAAGACCCTCCTAGAATCCACCCAGTAATTTACCAACGTCACAGAATACAAGACCAGCACATAAAAATCAGTCTCATGTCTATGTACTCACAATAAGCATATAAAAATTAAAACTGAAAATTTTGTTTAAAATTGCTCCAAAGATAATGAAATCCTTAGGTATAAATGGAACATGTCCAAGATCTGTATGCTGAACATTACAAAATACAAGAGACAGAAACCGAGGAAGACATAAACAAGTGAAGAGATCTGTTGTGTTCCTCTATGGGAAGACTCAGCATAGTAATGGTGCCAATTCCCCCAAATTTGTATATGAGTTTCATGCAAATTTTATCAAAACCTCAGCAAGATTTTCTGTAGACATGAACAACATATTCTCAAATTTATATAGATAGACACAAGCACTAGAATAGCTAAGACAACCATGAAGAAAATAATGAGGGGACCCTCCACCCCACATGAAGGATTACTATAGAGTGACAATAATCCAGAAAGTACTGTATTGGTGAAGGGATAGACATATAAATAAATGGAATCAAAGAGAGAATTCACAATTAGATCTACATAAATATACCACATTTATTGGTATATTTTGCACAAAGATGCCAAAGCCTAGCTTTTTCGACAAATGGTGCTGGAACAACTGAACACAGGCAAAATAAAAGTGTCAACCTAAGTCTCACATCTGATACAAGAATCAATTCAGTGGATCACAGAGTTAAACATTAAGTATAAAATTTGTAAAATAAATGGGAAAAAAATCTTTGGAGTCTAGGATGAGGCAAAGAGTTCTTAGATTTAACATCAAAATTATAATCCACAAAAGGGTGCATTTTGTAACTTAGATTTCATCAAAATTAAAAGTTTTGTTCTGCAAAAGACCCTGTTAAGAGGATGATAAGACAAACTACAGCCTGGGAGAATATTTTCAAACTACATAAAAAAGTCAAGGAAAAGTATCTAGAATGTACTATGAACTCTCAAAACTCAAAAATAAGAAACAATCAAATAAGAAAATAAGCAAAAGTATTTGAACAGATATTTCACTGAAGACATACAGATGACACGTGATCACAGGAAAAGATGTTTAACTTCATCAGCCATCAGAAAAAAAATGCATACTAAAATCAAAATGAGATGTCACTACGCTACATACCTGTCAGAATGGCTTTAGGAGTAGTGACAGGATAAAATACTGGCAAGAGTGGAAAGAAACGGGTCTCACATACATTGTGGTAGGAATGTAAAATGGTACAGCCACTCCAAAAAATAATTTAGTAGTTTCTCGTAAAAATAAGCATGTAATTAACATATAACTCAGCAATTGCATTGTCGCGTATTTATCCCTAAAAATTAAATACTTATTCACAAGAAAACCTACACAAATGTTTATGTCATCTTTATTCCTGACAGCAAAAACTAGAAACAACTCAAATGTCCTTCAACAGGTAAATAAAATAAGCTTCATGCATATTATGAAATACTTTACAGCAGTAAAAAGGTGCTAAATTTTAATACATCCAACAATTGAGGTAAATCTTCAGATAATTCTGCTGAGTGAAATAAAACGCTCATTCCAAAAGGTTACATACAGTCTGATTCCACTTATTTAACATTCTTCAATTAGTATGATTATAGAAACAGAAAACATGTTAGGAGCAAACAGGGTTAAAGACAGGAGGAGGTTCTGGGGCGGGGGAGAAAACAGCAACTCAAAGGGTCCCTGTGGTGAAGGGATGTTCTGTACCTTGATCGTGGTGGTGGGTACACAAACTTACACCTGTAATAAATTACACACACACACACATACACACACACATGAATGAGTACAAGCGCAAGTAAAACTGAAGAAATCTGAACAAGATTGGTGGATTGTATTAATGTGGATATACTATGATGATATTATATTATGGTTTTGCTCAATGTTATCATTGAAAGAATCTCAGTAAAGGACACACGGGATCTTTGTATTATTTCTTATATATGCATGTAAATCTATGTTCTCTTGAAATAAAAGTATAATTGAAAAAACAATTTGAAAAGTATATTTCGATAGATTCAAACATCTTCAGTAGAAACAAACGGCAGTTCTGAATGAATACATTAGCTACCTGGCAGCTATTGAAATCGTGCTCCTGCAGGACATAGCACTGCCGTGATGCGGTCTGCACCCTGTGTAATTTCCACTTGGCTACGTGACAACTTGGGTTGAGGATATGCTCACAGTTTGGACAAATGACTGTATTATGTCTCATTAAGGATCATAAATACCAATCAACCTAATCACAAAAGTGCTGTTTCAGTGTTCAGACAGCTCTTTAATCTGGACGAAGGTGACAAAGATGAGTAATTTTATTATCTTAATCACTGCATTTACTACTGTGGAGAAGAGAAACACAGCCCTTCTGTTGTTCTGAATAAGCCATATCCAAAATTTTGCTTCTGAGATTTCTTTAATAAGAAAGAGAGAGAAGGAAAGAAGGAAGGAAGGAAGGAAGGAAGGAAGGAAGGAAGGAAGGAAGGAAGGAAGGATGCAAGAAAGGAAGGAAGGGAGGGAGGGAGGGAAAGGAGAGAGGAGGGAAGGAGGAGAGGTAAGGGGAGGGGAAAGGAGAAAGAAAACTGAGATAAACAGGTAGCACAACGTCGTAGGAAATAGCTCAGGAAATACCAGCTCAGGCATGGTATTTGAGCTGGTCTGGGTTTGAATTCTATTTCTGCAAGTCTCTGGACTTTGGAGAAGTTAATGTCTCTAAGAGGTTTCTTCATCTATAAAATAAGAACAGTAGTCAGCCCTATTTTGCAGAGTTGGACAAAATATGATGAATCTAAGGTTTTTAAGACACAGCCGTTGGCCAATAACGGATAGTTATTATTAATTTATGAACAATAATCCATGTACTTTTCTTTACTTTACACTCAGATTTAATCTAATCCGTATTTATTGTTATAAGGATGCATTATTTCTAATGTGTTTCCTGCTAAGTGTCTCTGTGATTGGCAATCACATACCCATTGTAGACTCTGAAAAATTTAAGAAATAGACATGAAGAGAAAAATAGTTGCTTTACTGCTACTAAAAAATATTTTAAAGAAAACAGATTAGATCTACTCTGAAATGGGATTCTTATTACCATCTCTACTCCAAGTCCAGACCTCCACAGGGGAGAAACAGGTCTCTGAGAAAATTGTTACACAGCCAGTTATGACAATCTCTTCTCCTCAATTCCTTAAATCAAGAACTAAGAAAAATTAGGCCCTAGAATTACCTCTAAAGGACATACTTAGGTAAGCAAAGAAGAGACCAATCTGATAGCCTGGAAGAGAGGAAATCAAAAAGTCAAGAAAACTTGGGTACTTCTGCTCACATCATTCTTCAGATTTCTACACACATAAGAGCAATTAATCAATGACGGCTTAAGAGGTTCTCTGCAAAATATTCCCAGGATGATCTCCTCTAACCAGTGACCACTAAAGGAGCAAAAGATTGTTTTATTTGTATATGTTGTGTAGAAGAGGGCTTTGTTTTAGAAAGCCTGGGTTTTGCCTTTGAGATGCTACTTTTGAAAGTTAAAGAGAACTGGTAGAAGAGACAGAAGGTCCTGATGTGTCCAGCAGGATCTTTCTGTTCCTACATATCTTCCCCTCTAAGTATCTACCTATAGGACACTGCTTTTACCATGGCTAACTTCTCTTTATCTTCCTATCTTCTTTGTTTTAATTCTATGTTTTTTCTCTTCTGTCTTTTATTGTTTCTCTGAGTATATTCTTTTTCATAGAAAAAAATGTTGGCCATTTGAAGACATTGGGCTCAATCACAAGAGTTCTGTCTGGAAAATTAAAGAAATGCAATGAATGCATTGTGACACGTCTTCAAGCTCCTTGTCTCTTACTTGGCAGTTTTCTTTGTTGCTGGGTATTTGTGGACTTCACTTTGCAAGAACGTCTCCCTGGATACTTCTAGTTTAACTGTTGTTTTAGTAGCATAGGAGACTTGGCAGGATGGATACTGGATAATTCATATATTTCATCAATTGCTGTGAAACAAACACCTTGGAAGTTTAGTAGCTTAGAAAATCTCATTAGTTTGGGATTCTGTGGGTCAGTAGCTGGAACTGGGCTCAGCTGGGTGACTCTTCTGCTAATATCCATGGAGTCACCTCTGTAGCTACAGTTTTCTGGTTGACTTCATTCACGTGTCTGGTAGGTGATGTTGGCAGGTGCCTGAGCCATATTTCTTCAGCAGACTACCCTGTGCTTCCTTTTATAGAGGAAAAGGAGTCCCTAGGATCAAGAGACAGAATTCCCCAGTGAGAAAGCTCATTTTCAGCACCTGCTTGCATTATAATTGCTAATGTTTCATTGGCCAAATAAAGTTACATGTCTAAGCCCAGAGTCTATATGACCAGGACTGTCCAAGTATATAAATCCAGGGAGGTATCCAACAGGGACTAACACTGCTAAAATTTACAACAGGCCACCCTCAATGCCAATGATTCATGTCTCTAACCTACAAAACATACTCATCTCCTCCCAAGATGCCAAGATTTATCCAGTCACTGAATCAGGCGCCAAATCCACAACCATGTGGCTTGCATGAGGTTCAGATGTTAATGAGATTCTTCAAGTGCAACTTCTCAGGTGGAGTTCCTCCTGATTGCATTAAGACAAAGACTAGATAACTGCAACAGGCATGCCTACTTTAAAAGGTGGGGATTGAGAAGGGCAAAGCAGTCACTAGACCACAGTAATCATGAAACCCAACAAGCCACACCTTGCCAGTTCCCCAGCAAAAGGAGCATATTTCTTGACAAGGGTCGATGTTTGCTACCTGAGAGTAGCACCTCAGTGCACTGTTCTCCATGGCTCTCTGCTCTGCTTTCTGACCTCTTGGCTCTATCCTGTAAGACATCTTTCTTTTTCTAAAAAGGAGTTGTTTGCAGCTGAGCAGCTTTCTCAGCCTAAAACCTCCTTATAGAAAGTTAGAAATGCAGGGTCTTTTAAAAAATTTCTGAACAGTCACAATCCTTTTGGTGTACACTGACACAATTTCTTTAAAAACTTTGTGGCTTCCTGATGTATCTTATTGAAGTTCATTCCATGACAAAAAGCCTATATCCTAATTCTTTTTGAGAAAGATCTTTTTCTATGTTGAGCATGTCTTGACACTTTAAACAACTCCTTTAATATTTTTAGAAGTCTGTTTGTCTAACTTTTCTTTACATCTTTTTTAAACATTTTTTAAAGGGGCTGTGTAGCCACACATTTGATTTGATCATGACTTGAGATCATTTCTTACTTTGAGAATCTTTTATTTTCCCACTGGCAGGTACTGAGTTCTTTATGTTTTCTCTAAAGTTTGCTGGAAAACTAGAGTTTCTTCCTTAGTCATCTTTCTCTTGTAGTACTTTATCCTACATCTACACGCATCCAACAAAATCTATCAACATCCTACTTAAATATAACTCTTTAGCTCTAATCAACAAGACCATTAGGGGCTTTTTCCCCTCAGAATATGGGAGACAACATTTTGTTAATTCTCATAACACTACACACATGTCACTGTTTTCCCAACCTTCTGTAGAAGTTTCTTTATTTTTTTTCCTTCCTTTAGTCATCACTCAGTTCCAAAGCCAATACCACACATTTAGGTTTGGTTACAACACAATCCAACTTCAAAGTAGCAGTTACTTTTTAAAATTTATTTATTTATTTATTCCTGGATAACAAATCATTCTAAAAATGATTGTCCGAAAACAACTATTTATGAGCCCATAATTCTGTGGATTGGTAGTTTGGGCTGGGCTCAGCTGGATGGTTTTTCTCCAACTTGCATCTTGATTTACTCATATAGGTGCAGTCATCTGATGGCTCAGCTGGAGCTGCTGGTCTGAGACATCCTCAGTCGCTTCTCTGACAGCTGGTTTTGTCTCCAGTGAACAAGTCCTGGCTTCTTCACATAGAGGAAAACAGCCCAGCAACACAAGAGAGTAAGACCAGCTATGCAAATGTTTGTCAAGAATTTGCTTTCTTCAATTGTGTTCATCTCCCATTGGCCAAAGCAAGTCACATGGAGTCAATATGGTGGCAGAGAAGAGGCCCACAGGGGTGTGGATGCAGGGAGGGATGACCTTGAAGGGAAACCATTATAATAATCTGCCACAATGTTTTAGGAATGCTAATATGATAATAACATCACTCTTTATTGAATATTGTGTTAGAACCCTGACAAGTTCTTTACGTTTAATCTTGCTTAAATTCCATAACAACATTATTGGGAAGGTAACCACTTCAAAGATGAGGAAAAAAAGCTGAAGATGTCCAGTGGCAGGATACAGAAGAAACTAGTGGCAAAGTCAGGCCTCCAACTAAGGTCTGTCTGACAAAGTCTATGTTTTTAAGCACCGTGTTACACTGCCTCCTCATAGATGGTATTCCCACAGGAGACCCTCAAAAATAATCTTGGGTTCTGATTTATTTTCTTATAAAATAATTTCTCTTCATTCAGGTATGAGAAAAAGATCTTTCTGTATTATATTTTTGTAATAAATATCAACCAAACCACTGATTATTTTTATAACTTGTTCTAACCAATCAATAAACATTCACCAGAACCAAATTTTAGTGTGGAGAAATGAATACTAAGGTTATCAAGGGAAGGCCAGGTTTGAACCCCAGTTCTGCTATTATGTAGATGTGTGAATTCCATTGCATGAATCATTTACCCCCCTGAGCCTCCATTTCCCCATTTGTAAGAAAGAGTTACTAACCTCACAGGATTATCGTGAGGGTTAAATGTGGCATTGGAATAAACACATTTTATTAACAAGAAAGTGCTACAAAAACACAGCATGTTAAATTAATAAAGAGAAATCTGGACTGTCTTTGTGCATAACTAGATCTCTGTTGTTTAACACCTGCTTTTGAGGCCACTACAGTGACTCAATAGAATGATCGATTAATTTAGCTGGAATGAGTTTTCTACCTCCTAGCTAGAAAAATTGTAGTAAATATTTAATGTAGCATCTTTATAATTTGTTTCTTAATTCACCTTTGTTCTCCTTGGATTTTTACTTATTTTCCTCCTCCTAGTTGTGGAATAGCTTAACTTTTCTTTCCCCAGTCAGACTGGAATAGGAGGAAACTATCCTTTCTCAATCCCTTTCTCAAACTATCACTCTCAACTAGATTTGTCAGCGTTATGATCTACATTCCCATTTACAATATATTTCAGCTTGTCTTTCATGCTGGTTTCCACGTCTTTTTTATCACATCTCTCACTATTTGCCCATTAAAATGCTATAAATAACATCAGATCCTGTCTTGGACGCAGCCGTTCTCACTCATCACTGTCAAAGTGCTTCCAATGATAGCGTATTCCTCTTAACCACTGCCAGAAACATGAAGAGCACTTGAAGAATTGCTTGATTCTTTATGACAGCATTTACCCTCTCAACAAAGAACCCATGGTATTTTATGAAGCCTGATCTCTCAGTAAAAACTCACTAAACATGCCCTCAGGGTGATACATTTTTTCTGGAGCTATGACCATCTACAAGTCACTGTGCTAGAGGAATAAGTCAGCCTCCTTGCCTGCAAGGGACTTAAAATCTTACAGGAAAAGAGGGACATCGAGAGAGAAAACTAACCAAGTAGCATGATGAACTCATTGGCAGGTGCCAACACACTGTGCTGCCATGATGAAGACCTTGTGCCGTCCAGTGGGACTTGTTGAGAGCTTGCTGCAAGTTCATTTTCCAGATCTTTTACAAAAATTAGGTGACATTTTTTGAGCATGAGTTATAAACACTTATTGACATTAACATTAAGGATTTTGATTAATCCTTCTACATTTTTGCTTTTTCCCCTTTATAACCATTTTCTGCTTGCCAAGACACTTAAATTATTTATTCAGAATTCTGCCAAAATGTAAACCAGTAGGATATCTTCAAAATATTTGATTATTTGCTTCGTTTGGTTTCTACTAGTAGAAGCACAGACGGAATACTTACAGATTATTTTTGGCCTGCTCATTTTATCAGTGTATTTTGGGTTTCTTGATTTACCTCATATTTTAGCACATGTTTAGCTTTTGCTTATGTAAAAACCATTTCAGTTAGCTTATCTTAACTGATTTCTCCAAGACAATTCATCAGCTGATACCCTTCCGTAGTTCGTCTACTTAAATACCTTTTCCTGGTGTGCACTGGTGCTGAAAGTTCTACTACTTTTATTTGTCTGATCTTTTTTTCTTTCCATGAATATACCTTTCCACATTGCTGTACCAACGAACACTAAATTAACATACACCTTGCAATGCTGCAGAACTCTCATAAGGCCTCAGTTCTCAGTGATTGTCTTTGTTACTAATTATTTTTCACAGGTGAGTGATACGGTATTTTGAAGAATCTGTCAATCTCAGTTTAAGGACTGCTTTCTACAGAATCCTTCCCACCTTCCTCAGGAATATGTTAGGACACCCTCTGTGTGTCCACTTCGCTTCAGACTTGCTGGAATTAAAGAAATGTTTAGATTGTAGTTGGCAAGACCATCAGGTTGAGTGTCTCGGTATCAGCAGCACGGTGATCTGTCTTTCTTTCTCTCTTTTTTTGGGTTTTTTTTTTGACATTTTGCTCTGTTGCCAGGCTGGAGTGCAATGGCACCATCTCGGCTCACTGCAACCTCCGCCTCCTGGGTTCAAGTGATTCTCCTGCCTCCGCGTCCCGAGTAGCTGGGATTACAGGTGTGCGCCACCACGCCCAGCTCATTTTTGTATTTTTTTAGTAGAGACGGGGTTTCACTATGTTGCCCAGGCTGATCTCGAATGCCCGACCTCATGATCCACCCGCCTCGGCCTCCCAAAGTGCTGGGATTACAGGCGTGAGCCACCACGCCCGGCCATGGTGTTTTTTCTTTATTCCCCGTATATGCCCCCAAGTTCCCACCCAGCCCTGTGCTCTGAGACGCTGCCCTGCAGCACATCCCAGTGGCCTCCGGGTGGGCATGGGGGCTGGGGAGTCCCAGGAGACAGATGAAAGGAGTTAGGCAGAGCGTTCAACCTCACCATCTCTCCATGGGGAACCCCACAGGGGGCCGCCTTCCTTGACAAGCAAGGCTGTCCATATGGCTGGGCTGACTCTGAGCTTCTGTAACTATTCCCACCCCACCCTCCAGAGCTGGCAGTCACTGACCCTACTCTTGTAAGTCCCTGACTGCATTTTGGCTTGCTGGTTTTCCTACAGCTTGCCCATCCTTTTGTAACTAGCACTTTACTAAACTCCCTTACTCCTGATCTAGTGGGTGACTAACCCAGTGCCTGGCACATGGAATTGGCTTATTTAATGAACAAGATAAATAAAGAAGCTTACAATGTGACAGTGTTTACCCAAAAAAAAAATTAAGGAAAGGGAATTTAACTTTGTAGTTGCATATTCACAAATTGAGAATGAGGAGGGAATAAACAAGAACCTGAATTTTTCTATGCAGATACATTTGTTTGGAGATGTAGGTTGCCTCATTCTTACAGGCAGAATTCAAAAGTAAAAAACTGCACAATGACTCATGCATCTGACCTCAATTTTGCCTTTTTAAAATAAATCTGACCTATAAGACATATATTTTAAAAATTGACCTATTTTATGACCTGGTTGCATCTCTTCAATGAACAAATCAAACACTTGGATGAAGGCGTGGCGTCTGTTCTTGAGAGAAAAGGAGGATGATGTGATTCAAAGCACAGGGGAAATTACAGTATATTTAAAGGAATAAATCACCTGGGGCCTGTTATGTTACTTAATTTTAATCAGCATATAGGTCACCAACCGACGGAATGATTTAATTTGGCTTCCCTGAGGTGACTTTATCTCAAGACGTAATGATCTCCTTGGAAGCCTCATCCATTGTCAACAAGATCAAGTCAATAGGCAGGGCTCAGAGGCCTACAGTAAGCCATGTTGGGGAGGGTGTGAGAGGGGAGCATCAGGACCAGAGACACGCAACTTTGAGTGTCTATATTAGAGTTTGGTGATGGCTTTACATCTCTTCACTAGATTCCTGAGTTTCTGTGATTTAGGAATGCTGGCAGTATGTGAAACTGATGGACGCCCATCAGTAGCTCTGATTCCCAGAAACTTCTACAGCTGGAGATGCAAGGTACAAACATATGACATGCTTTTAAAAAGGAGAGAGAAGGCCGGGCGCAGTGGCTCATGCCTGTAATCCCAGCACTTTGGGAGGCCGAGGCAGGCGGATCACGAGGTCAGGAGTTCAAGAGCAGCCTGGCAAACATGGTGAAACCCCATCTCTACTAAATATACAAAAATTATTCAGGTGTGGTGATGGGTGCCTGTAGTCCCAGCTACTTGGGAGGCTGAGGCAGGAGAATTGCTTGAATTCAGGAGGTGGAGGCTGCAGTGAGCCAAGATTGTGCCACCACACTCCAGCCTGGGCAACAAGAGCAAAACTCCATTTCAAAAAAAAAAAAAAAAAAAAGGGAGAGAGAAGATTTTAGGAAACTTTTTGAGGCAAAGCAGGAGGATTGCTTGAGGCCCTGAAAAAAAAAATTGTTAATTATCTAAAAGTGCTGCCATGATGCACCTGCAGTCCCAGCTACTAAGGAGGCTGAGGCAGGAGGATCACTTGCAAGCAGGATTCCGAGACCAACCTGAGCAACATGAGCTGGAGCTTGCATGGGATCAGGACCAGAGACGCGTGGTTTGAGTCCCAGCCCCACCTCCTGCTGTGTAATCTCGGGGAAGTTATTCACCTCCTCGAAACCTCGGTTTCCTTATGAATATAATGTGGACAATACAGCAATCTCATAATATGATGATAAATCAGTGAGATAATATGCGTACATTTTTTAGATCGGTGCCTGAAAGCACACCATGGGTGCCTTATAGCTATCAGTATCTTCCTCATTGGGTGGACAATTAAAAAGTAAACTTTTTTTTTGCTCACTACAATAAAAACTAGTTTTTTTCATGATTCAAAATAAGAGACCAGGAATGACCTATCTATTCCAAGCTTTTGAAAACACAGAACCTGCAGATCTGAATGCCTGCGGGCTGTGGTGCACGGCAGTCATCCCGGCCCCTGTGCTCCCCTCAGACTCGAGTCTCGCAGGAGCTGTCCCTGGGTGGAGAGCACGCGTGTTGAGCTGCCCCTGGGTGGAGTGCACGCATGTTGAGCTTCCCCTGGGTGGAGTGCACGCATGTTGAGCTTCCCCTGGGTGGAGTGCACACGTGTTGAGCTGCCCCTGGGTGGAGAGCACGCGTGTTGAGCTGCCCCTGGGTGGAGTGCACGCGTGTTGAGCTTCCCCTGGGTGGAGTGCACGCGTGTTGAGCTGCCCCTGGGTGGAGTGCACGCGTGTTGAGCTTCCCCTGGGTGGAGTGCACGCGTGTTGAGCTTCCCCTGGGTGGAGTGCACGCGTGTTGAGCTGCCCCTGGGTGGAGGGCACGCGTGTTGAGCTGCCCCTGGGTGGAGTGCACGCATGTTGAGCTTCCCCTGGGTGGAGTGCACGCGTGTTGCATGCGTGTTGCACGTGTGTTGTTTTGCGTGTGCAGGAGCATCTGCACGAGAGCGAACACAGGATGTGGAGAAGTGAAGGCTCCTGATAACGAGTGCGTCGTTAAACCCAACACCAGCGAAAGCCACTGAAGCTCATCCTGCAGGGAAGCTCTCAGAAATGATATGAAATGTGGCTCACAGCTATGGTGGCCCAGAGCCCAGGAAACTTTAAACCCCAAGCTCATCTGTCACTGGATGAGTGGACTGTGTGGGTGTCCAGCAAGAGAGGGCCCAGCACCCCGAGGGTAGCCCCTGGGGACGATGTTGCCGGCCTCGGGGGCAGCCGGCTTTCCTGGCAGTGGCCAGTGGTCCTGAGTCCCGGCAGAAAAGCAGCAGCCACGATGCGAACCCTCCCTCTCCTCACACCTGGTTATTCCCTTGTCAATCTGCCTTCTCCTCCAAGTGGTGGTTAGTCCCAATTCTTACAAGAAATTAAAAAAGAGGAAAAGACAGTTTTATAGAAGTTGTAGTGAGACCTGCTCATGCTGCCATTGGCCCCAAGGTGATCATTTATGTGAACCTTCTCTTTCTTCCACCCATTCCAGACACCCCTTCACCCTTGGTCAGCATGTTGGCTCGTGGCAGTTACAAGCCCAGCAGGAAAAGCCCAGTCCCTCATGCCTGAAGGGTTGGCATCCCGGTCGGGGCCTTTGTCAGGCTGATGGCTGCTGCAGCTTCTCATTCACAGTGTTTACTCGACTTGGATGCCACAAAAGCCCCTCCAGGAACCTGTTAGTCTCCAGACATACCCTCCCACCCACACAGCGAGAGGCAATCCTACCTTCTCATGGTAATCAGGGTCCATTGTCTTTGCTAGCAGAATGATCTCTTTTTTGCCTACTCTTTGGGGACCATAGAAAGTCCCATAGGTGAAGTCCTATAGCCATAAATGTAGCCTTCATGTAACAGTCATGAGACCCCTGCTCAAAAAATTCCCTTCTCTTTGGAATCAGGACCTTCAGGTGAGCAGAGCCCAAGCTCCAAAAATGGGAGTCCAAGATTTCCAAGTGGGTTGTTCAGGGTCATGATGAGGGGGCCTCCTTCTACCACTTGTTACCCAACGAGCGGCTTTCCTCCAGTCAGTAGATGTGCGCAGACCCTTGAGGGATGCCGCAGCCCTTCCAGCTGTTACACTGAGCTGGAGACTTTGCACCTCTCTGGGAGTCTACACGGATGTCTGCTAGCCCAGGACTTTCCAACATTGCAGCATGTGGCAATGCTAACGGGCTGTCTGATTGTTACAACCTCTGCACTATGAACTGGTATCAAAGGCAGAGTGATGCACCCCAAAAAATGTCTTGGGCAAGTTAGTCCCCACCGTGAATCTCAGTTTATTCATTTATAAAATGTCCCTAGAACCTGGAGTACCTTGTTATAAGCAAGGAGGGATTGTAGTTGTCAATGCATTTAAAATAGGGAGATTAACCTGGATTTTCCAGGTGGGCAACCATGTAATCCCCAGGGTTAGCGTGAGGGAAGAGGACGGCAGGAGAGTCAGCACCAGAGTGACGCAGCACGGGAAAGGCTGGACAGGCTGGCGCTGGCACTGGCTTTGAAGATAGAGGAAGGGGCCATGAGCCAAGGAACATAGGTGGCCTCCAGAAGGCGGGAAAGACAAGGAAACAGATTTTCCCATAGAGCTTCCAGAAGAAACAAGCCCTACCAGCACTTTAGTTTTAGCCAGGTGAGAGCCCTTTCAGACGTCCGATCTGCAAAACGATGAGATAATAATGCAAGAAAAAAAAAGTGCTGTTTTAAGCCACCAAGTTTGCAGTAATTTGTTACAGCAGCAATGGGAAATTAATGCAGCGGGTTCTTTATCCGAAGTATGAGATGCAGAATCGCATGACAACAATGCAATCTGTGAGGCTGTGCTGAAGGTGCTGGCCAGCTCCCTGCAGGCTGAAAGTACAGAGCAGTGCCCAGGGTGTCTATCAGCCCCAGGAAGGGCAAAGCCCACACAGCCCCATGATGGAAAGTGCTTGGTGTCCTCAACATGCTACCACAACATGGAGGACCCCTCAAAGGCACTCAGCAGGGGCCATCCCTGAATCCGCTGGAGGAGCGGAAGTCATGCCTGGGGAGCCATGCACAGTGGACATCTAAGCAGCCATGGCCGTTCCATTCTTGAGCCCACCATGTTCTAGAGACAAGTTGGATAAACTCTCCCTGGATGAGTCATTTCTTCCCTCTGCAGGGCACACATTGTCTGGGAGACATCAATGTGAGGCTCAAAGACCTTTGGATTTGAGGCACCCTTAACTCCAAGCACGTGGTTGCCCGAGAGGTCCCTGCTCAGATCTGCCAGTCTTGCTCCTCAGATTCTTATTCACAGCCAAGCCATCACCTCTCTCTATAAAGACCCATCTTTACCTCCAGCCATGATTCCCTCCAAAGAAGTTGAGCACAAATTGATGGTTTAAAACAATGTCCCACCCCCTTAAATTTTACCTCATCCTTGCCCATCAGAACCACCCCAAATGGGCTATGGGACAGCTGGAGCCCATTTTTAGGTTCTCCAGTAATGTAACAAATTCACCATGAAAAGGTCCAAATGTTTCCTCTCCATTCACTGGTCCTAGGAACACAGATGCAGGCTGATGGAGAAGTGTCCATCCCACCAGGGGAGGTGGAATGGGCTGGGGCTGTCTGGTCATCAGGCCGTCTTGTGCCCTCCAGACCTAATCAGACTTGAAGCTCTAACCCTCATGTGATGGGCTGTGGAGCTGGGCCTTCAAGAGTTTGGATGAGGTCATGTGAGCAAGGGCCAGAGATGGGACCGAAGGTCTTAAAAGAAGAGGATGACAAGAGATCTCAGTCTCCCAGGCACATGCCCCCAGGAAAGGCCATATGAGGACATAGTGAGGAAGGACACGGCAGGAGGGCAGCCATCTGCAGGCAGGAAGAGCCCTCTCCAGGAGTCAAATATGCTGATGCCTTGATTTCAGACTCCCTGCCTCTAAACCTCTGAGAAATAAATGTCTGTCATTTAATCCACCCAGTCTGCAGCATTCTGTTGTGGCAGCCCGAGTGGACTAAGACAGGGGGCATCTTAGTAATTTTATTAATGCACCAATCATGGATGACCACACCCTACCAGCCACTGAGGTGCCATCAGACATGCAGATGCCCCAACCCTAGAGTCCCATCCAGGACTGGCTCCTAGGACCACGTCAGTCCCTATTGTCTAAGTGAGGTTCTCCCGAGAGGCAAGTCCTGAGGGGAAGGGGGACTGTGCAAAGTGTATTGGGAGGTGCAGGGAAAAAGGAAGTGACTAGGGCAGGGAAGGCAGCCACTTAGGGCTGCACAATTAAGGCCATGGGCAGCTGATGCTTAATCTTACAGTGAAACTGGGAAACCAAGAAAAATACATAGCTCAGAATTCTGGCAAAAGTTCCAGGAAGGAGGTGACTCACTGAACAGATGTGCATACCTGTTATAGGCAAGGGCTTATTGATTCCCTGACACCTGGTTCTGTCATGCAAATGGACAAATGGGGTTCCAGCAACCCCAGCATAGCGTTTCACCAAAGATGCAGGTGTTGGGCATTAGAGTGAGGCTGGAATACCCAGAACTGTTCAGTGGAGCCCTGGGAGTGTGTGAGAAGCACGAACCACTTCCCTACAATAGCAAATGTGTTTGTTAGTTGGATGAATGTTCTATTAGTGTTTGGTGATGGCTTTACCTCTCTTCACTAGATTCCTGAGTTTCTGTGATTTAGAAAGACTGGTAGAATGTAAAACTGATAGACACCTATCAGCAGCTCTGATTCTCAGAACCTTCAACAGCTGGAGATGCAGGGTAAAAACGTATGACATGCTTTTAAAACATACAGAGAAGATTTCAAAAAGCTATTTGAGCCAAAGCAGGAGGATTTCTTGAGGCCAGGAGTTTGAGACCAGCCTGGGAACCATAGAGAGATCTCATCTTTACAAAAAAATATTGTAATTAACCAAGAGTGGTGGCATGCACCTGTTGTCCCAGCTACTAAAGAGGCTGAGGTGGGAGAATCATTTGCATGCAGGAGTTTGAGGCCAGCCTGAGAAACATAGGGAAGCCCTGTCTCTACAAAAATGGTAAAGGTAACCAGGTAAGGTGGTGCACACCTGTAGTCTCAGCTACTTGGGAGGCTGAGATGAGAAGATTGCTGGAGCCCTGCAGTTTGAGGCTGCAGTGAGCTATGATTGTACCACTGCACTCCAGCCTGGGCTACAGAGCAAGATGCTGTCTCTAATTTTTTTAAAAAAACTATTTACCCCAAAAACACTGGTGCTATCACAAGAAAGTAAAAAGTCAATTGCTGAGTGACTGATACAAAGGGTGGGTGCTCCAGGAATTCAGGATCTGATGAGGTCTGCCCTATCTGTAGTAACATTTGCTTAATATCATGATCGATCAGCCAGAGGTTTGCTCCTAATCAGAGGTGTATTGTACCCAGTATGTGGCCATATGACGTGATATTGTGCAGGGGAAAAAATGTTCAATCACGAATTAGGCATTTTTAACTCTCATATCAGGCTCACTCACCCTGATAATAGGCTCACAGAAGTGAAGACATTACTTACATTACCAGTTCCTATGTGAATTGGGGATTTGTATATGAGGCTTTTTTGTTCAACCTGGCAAGTGGACTAAGTAAGAAAGAGAAAAAAAGCAGAGTCATTTTCTACGTTAATCAATTTTTTACCAGAATTTTGTCAAGATTAATTCTGGAGCTTCTCAGCAGCGATGGGAGAGGCTGTCACTATAGAGACGCAGGCTGTTAGCTTGTTCAGACAACACTGATCTCTTTGATCATTATGTTGTCATTAGCTTCAGAGGGTGTATTTTCGCAGCCTCAAATATATACTTATTTATCCCACTGCCATTTACATTTCAGAAGATCCACTACACTAAGCATCCTCCATCTTCCCCACAAATTAGCCTGTGTGGGTTTCTGGCCTTCTTCCCTCTGCCCCCCACTGCCCTCACCACCCCCGCCCTAGATGAGCTTTCTTCTCTGTCTTCCCATCCACAGCAACTCTACACCCAGAAAAGCACAAACTGACCCAGATCAGAGGCGAGCATGGATTGTACCTCATTTCTAAGTCATGTTTGATCTGTGATCCTTTCTTGCCATTTTTCTCACTATTTTTTCCAGTTTTCATCATCATCACAAGTTTATTGGCTGCTAGATATTTGGGATACAAAAACACAAAGAGAAGCATACACAAGATATTGAGGACAAAGACTATTTATAAGAATGATAACACAAGACGAAATGTCCTAAGTGCTGCATGATCAGTAAAAAGCAAAAATCCTAAGGGGGCTTTGAAGAAGGAGACAGTGCTGTGGTTCCTCCAGGCAGATTTCAGAGAGGAGCTGGGCTCCAAGGTGGCATAGGCTGCAGCCAGGCTCAAAGGCAGGAAGAATGTTGAAGTCACACAAGAAGCCTGCATGCATATTACCCCGGAGCCATTTTATCTGGGGCTTGGGAGAGGGTGAAGGGACAGGCTGTATCAAATTACCTTGGAAATTATTTTTAAATAGTGCTTCCTGGGTCCACATTCCCAGATGAACTTTAGGAAGTCACAGGGATCACACTCCACATATTAACATGTCACATGGAGGCACACTATAAACATGTCACATGGATCACACTGCACATACTCGTATGTCACATGAAGACACACCACAAACATGTCACATGGATCACACTCCACAAACATGTCACATGGATCACACTCCACATACTCATGTGTCACATGAAGACACACCACAAACATGTCACATGGATCACACTGCACATACTAGTGTGTCACATGAAGGCACACCACAAACATGTCACATGGATCACACTCCACATACTAGTGTGTCACATGAAGACACACCACAAACATGTCACATGGATCACACTCCACATACTAATGTGTCACATGGAGGCACACCACAAATATGTCACATGGATCAACCTCCACTAATGTGTCACATGGATCACGCTCCACATAATAATATGTCACATGGAGACACTCCACAAACATGTCACATGGATCACACTCCACAAACATGTCCCATGGGTCACACTCCCCACATTAATCTGTTACATGGATCACACTTCACTTACTAACATGTCACATGGGAAATACTCCACACACTAGCATGACACATGGGTCACACTCCACATATTAAGATGTCCCGGGTCACAGTCCACACACTAACATGTCACTTGGGTCACACTCCACATACTAACATGTCGCATCTTTCATCACTGAACAGTTGTGATTTGAGTGGGCCACAGAAGCATCTCCTTTGAAATACATGTTCTCTTTTCTTCATGCATCAAATAAACAGTTCTTCATCAGCTCTCAGGAGAACTCCTCTGAGTGCTTAAGACGTAGCGGTGAGTGAAACAGACAGACCCCTGCCCACGTGGGACCACAACCAGGCTGGAGGACATGGGAAAATAAAGCATAAGAATAATAAAGAAACACATGGTATGTTGAAAGACAATCAGGCCAAATGAAAAATGAAAAGTAGAGGATGGGCAGGGCATGCATAGGGAGTGAAGGGCAAAGGGGAGCGGCCATCACCACGGAACAGCCAGGGGGTCCTCGCTGGGCACATGAGACCTGGTCAGACTTGAGGATGGGAGGCAGCAACCCATGCGGGTATGTGGGGAAGAGCTTCCTAGGCAAAGTGGGCAGGATCTCAAAGCCCCAGGCCAGGAGTGCAGCTGATCCATCGGCCAATGTAGTATGAGACGAGAAAGTGAGGAAGGGTGGTGGTGGATAAGATAAAAGGGTTTGGGGTGTTGGGGGGCAGGTCATGCCATCACTGTAAGCCATCGCAAGGACTCGGGCTTCCCCTCTGAGTGAGGCAGGAAGGCTGCAAGGCTTTTAGCAGTGCAGTGATCTTAGGTTTTTGTTTTGTTTTGTTTTTTGAGCTGGAGTCTCACTCTGTCACCCAGGCTGGAGTGCAGTGGTGTGATCTCACCTCACTGCAACCTCTGCCTCCCTGGTTCAAGCAATTCTCCTGCCTCAGCCTCCCAATTAGCTGAGATTACAGGTGAGCACCACCATGCCTGGCTAATTTTTGTGTTTTTAGTAGAGACGGGGTTTCACCATCTTGGCCAGGCTGGTCTTGAACTCCTGAGATCGTGATCCACCCGCCTCAGCCTCCCAAAGTGCTCAGATTACAGGCATGAGCCACCGTGCCTGGCAATCTTAGGTTTTAAAGCATCATCTTAACCATGCCTCTCTCTGCTCAGGTCCCATGAATTCACTGCTCTTCTCTGCATTGAAAATGATCCTGGTTGTGTACCATGCTCAAGACAGTAAAAAAAAAAAAATGCCATGGAATCATTTTCCGTGTTCTGCAGTTCAGACGAAGAACACTGGGCCAGGCGTTTTGCCCCGTAGAAGGGCACAGGTAGAAACAAGCAAATGAAGAGATAGAGGGGCCAAGAGAATCGTGGTAACAACTGACAATGGACTGGAAGCTTAAGAGGGGAAGGCTGCACATAGAGCAGGGAAGAGCACCAAGAAATGGAAAACAAAAGTGCCATGCATTCCACGGGCTGGAGGCACTGTAGGAAAGAAGGATGCCTGGCCCATGGCCCTCAAGCTGGAGAGGCAGGAGCTGCTGTCAAAGGGGTCCATGCATGGCGATGAAAGAGTTGGGATCCAGGACAAGACAGCTGGAGGAGCTCCATGCATGGTGATGGAAGAGGTGGGATCCAGAACAAGATAGCTGGAGGAGCTCCATGCATGCTGATGGAAGAGGTGGGAACCAGGACAAGACAGCTAGAGGAGCTCCAGGAATGGAGGCACCATGTTTTGAAGATCTCCTTCATGTGCACAGAAACTAAGAGAATTAAAACAGCAGGGGTCTTGGACAGAGTTACACTGAATACCAAGATCGTTGGGAAACGAGGAGATTATAAAATGCTGAAGAGGCAATAGAACCTGATGCTATGATCATCAAAGCTGGAAGATGTAGGAAGGAGAGAGGAAGAAAGGTCTTCCAGTGTCACCTGGGGAAAAAGGAGGCAGTGGCCCTTCTTCCACCCATGGGAGAAAAATGACAATCACTTTGGAAAACTCTGGAAAAAAGGTGTCTTCAATAAAGAGCCAGGTGTCCACTAGAGCACAATGAAGGCACCTCTAGACAATGTCAATGACTAACTAGCTGCTAAAGGATTTTGTCCCTGTCTTGGTGTTTGACCTATTCCTTTTTTTCCAGACAATGTGAATTGATTTTCTCCATAACAGATTTCCCTGAAGCAAAAACTACAATCCAACCATCACTGTCGCTTAAACAAGCTGTGATTTATTAGTTTTAATCAAAAGGATGCCAGTAACAAAAAAAACACCACATGAATCAGCCACAGAAAAACCCCAGGACACCCAGCCCTTCCTGAAAACTCCCATATGATCGGCCCTACTTAGGAATTCGGGAATCAAGCCCCCAGAAGATTATGGGGAAGGACAGGAGAGCTGGCCATGCTGGCGACATGGCACAGTGCACAGATTCTGGGCTCGAGTCAGTTCTATAATTTCTGTGTAAATGAACAGTGTTATTTGAAGTGGTCCCAGAGCCCTTTTCTGGGTCATCACCCTAGTTTCAAGCACCTTGGTCCAAAGGAAAACAGGAGAAAGAACACCCCACATGCATTTGAACACTTACATGAGTTTTCACCAACCTTCTCTCCTGTGCTCAGAATTGGTTTTCACATCCTCTCTGCAGAGAGGGGCAATTTTTAGAAAAATCTAAAGTAACATTTCAGAATTACTATCTTGCTACCTTAGCTTTTAACACGAATTAGTGAATTTCTTCTTTTTCTGCACCATGTACAAATGCTTAAGTATTAATAGCACTTTCAAAAAGTTTCATTTGCTTAGCACAATTGACTTCCTCTCTTCCTATCTTTTTATTTAGCTTTCATCTTCCACTGCCCTTTCCCCGTCCTTCTCTATCTTCTGCTCCTCTCTCCAACATTTAGACCCAAACACCATGAGTCAAGGCCAAGTAAGGCGTTGGGTGGCAGCCAAGGTGAGGAGCGCCAGAACCCTGAGCCAGGACAGAAGCGGGGAAGAGGACACAAGGGGGAGTCCATGTGGCTGTGGGACTCAGGCAGGTAAAAAGGGCATTTGCATGCCCTGTGCAGGCCATCAGGTCCCAAGCAGGGTGGAAAGGCAACTGCAGGACGTGTGTCTCAGAATAAGGGTACCTGGCAGGGTATCAGAGCCAGAGGAGGCTGAAGAGAGTGGCCTGGAGTAAGGGCGACCAGGGAAGGGCTTTGGAGCTGAAACAGTTAAGTGAGATGGGACCCAGCTCTGGCCTCAGACAGTCTGTGGGTCCTATAGATTGACAGATAATAGATAGATGCATAGATAATAGATAGGTGATAGAATAGATAAATGATAGACTAATATATTATAAATAAATAGATCCATAGATACTAGAGGGATAGATAATAACTAGATAGATAATAGATTGATGATAGAATAGATAGATGACAGATAGACTGCTGGATTATAAATAATAGGCAATAAATAGATCCATAGATAATAGATGGATAGATGATAGAATAGATGATAAATAGACTGATAGAATATAAATAAATTGATAATAGATGGGTAATAGAATAGATAATAGATACAGTGATAGATTATAAATAAATAAACAGGTAAGTAGGTAGATGACATACGGATTATAGATATAGATGATAGAAAAACAGAGATAGATGATTGATAAATATAATGGATGGTGAATGAATGGAGATAATAGAAAATTGATAAATAGATGGCTACATAGATGATAGATAAATAGATAACAGATATGTATAGATGATAGGAATGACAGAAAAATAGAAATAGATGACAGATAGAGTAGATAATAGATGGATAGATAGAATGGATAGAGGATTGATGGTAGAGATGATAGAATAGATAGAACAGATGATTTGATGGATGGAGAGATAGAATAAATAAGTAGGTAGGTAGATAGATAGATAGATAGATAGATAGATAGATAGATAGATAGATGATAGATAGACATATATTTTCTATATGTATACACTTACGTACAGATATATAGATTTATTGATAGGTAGCTACCTACAAAGCTCATAGAGGATAGATTAGATAGATGATGATAGATAGATGATAGATAGATAGATAGATAGATAGATAGATAGATAGATAGATAGATAGATGAGAGAGAGAGGGAGAGAGACAGACGGATGTAGAGTATCTGTAGATGATAGACTGATAGATGATAGATGGATAGAAGACAGATAGATGGGTGACAGAACAGGTAAAATATAGATGAGTAGACAGATAGATAGCCATTGTTTGTAGAATACATATGTAAAAAAATTGAGGGTGTTTTTGGGGCCAAGTTACATTCAAACGGTTCAGGAACTAGGAAGCTTTGTGGATCTTACATGAAACTTCTCAATAAAATTGAGATAATTTCAATTTTAAAAAAAAGAAGAAAGGAAGAATTTTACCATGAAATAGTTTACACATATTTAAAAAAAACTTTTGACAATAAAAATAAAAATTATTACCTGGAATTTTACGCTGAATTTCCTTTAACGACTTAATTTTTCTTCATCTTTCATTGTATCTCCTTTCTTAATCTTAATATTGCACGTGGATTTTTTTTTTTTTGATTCTTGGCTAACCTTCATGGATTTTATTTTCAGTCTATGCACATGTACCTTTTTGATTGTTTCTCAAAAATCATCTATTAAAGTCCTCTATTCATGGTGGTGTTTTCTGTCTTCTATTTAACTTAATTTCTGATATTATATTTCCTTTTCCATATCTCCTAGAATTATTTGTTTTGTTTCCCATAGAAAAAAGTTTATTATTATATGTTCTTTGCAGTTTAATAATAAAAATATTTCTAAATATGAATTTTATTTGGAGTACAACATTTACTGGATAACATGTATTTGAAACATAATATTATACTTAGTTTTTACTTTGTATAAAATTGCAATTGCTGTTTTCTCATTGAATCAAGAGTTGTAGGGTTTTTTTTCAAAATTTTGCAAATTGGTTCTTTTTTTGTTAATTGCTAGCTTTAGTATAGCTGAGCAGTGGTTTCTGCATACACTTTATACTTTGAGATATTTAATGCATTTTTTGAGTCTATGTTTTGTTTATGTTCCAAATACATTTGGAAAGAAACTGTATTCTTAACTACCATGAACAATGTTTTATATCCATCTGATGAATTTAGCCTAGTAACTACATTACTTCAGTTGTCTAGGATCAGATTACGTGGTTTATTTTCTAGATTTGTCAGTAAAAGAGAGCTTCCATTATCATCATAGCTTAATTTTTTAACAGTTCTTGTTGATACTATGATATTTATTAAGTAAATATTTGTAAGTGTTTTATCTTCAATGGAGATGACGTTTTATTGCTTTGAATTCAGCTTTTTCCAATTATTTAAATCCGTGAATTATTTTATTTACATGTGCACAGTATATATTTACTAGTTTTATAATTTTTATCTCTTCCTTGCCTTGTTTTCTTAGATTTCTTTGTAAATAATATATTGTGCTTCTCAGTCAATATGAGAGAATTGCCTTTTAATATCATGAAAATGGATATTCTCGGTATATCTCGACAGTCATCGTAACTATGATTCAGTTCGTTTCATCGTTTCACACTTTCTCACTATTAATTCTTGTACTTTCTGATGTTCTGATGCATTTCTCAAGTCTCCTCATACTTTTTTTTGTTTTTCTCAAATTATTTACAATTAATGCAGTTTCTTTCTATTCTAAAATCATGTAAAGCATGTTGAAAATCCTTTTCTCTACATCAAGAATATTAACTACTCTCATGTTAACTCCCCCATGTACAAAACTTGCCCTTGGATTTCTCACTTCCCATCAACATGCTTGCAAATGCCTTTGGAATTACTTGAGCTATTGACACGTAGATCATCAATATGTCTCAGCAACATATTTTTCCTTTTAATAATTATGCTTGCATAAAATCTACTTTTTAAATTACACATATTTTTACATAAATGAAATGTAAATTTTATAATTATTTTGTATTTATATATAGATTTATATTTTATTTTTACATTTATTTACATAAATATAATGTAGGTTAAAATAAACATTAATGACATCTGTAGTTACATTTGGAAAACATTAACAACCTTTCTTTGAGAATAACTTCTGTATTTCATTGGGTAAACACCCAATGCCATTTCTTTTATATGTCAGCCATCCTCTAAATGAGAATTTTGAGAAATTTTCCTCTCAGGTCATTCATAATGTCCATTTCCTTGTCTGTTACTTTGGAGTCTGTGAATAATTTCTACAATGGCAACTGTCTCATTATGCAGTAAATAATCAACTGTTTTAGTTCAGGAATCAGGTGTTTTACCTAAAAGTGTTATTTACTAAACTTAGATTGCCTGTTTTGAGGCAATGCAATCCCAAATCTCGATGAGAATACAAATTTTAGGGAGTTGCTGGTTTTTTGCTCCCATTTTTTTCAAGATATAAATTAATCTAAAAAAAAAAACTATACCTGAAACTTCCCACTTTATTTTTATGAAGATGCGTATCTTTTCACAAATTTAGCGGTTTCTGTCTGCTCATTTGTAGGGAGATGTCTGCATTTATACAGCTGAGAAATTTGCAGCAAATTTGTCAAAGATCATGTCAAACTCTAATAGACCAAGAAGACGAGGACATTCATATTGTCTCATTTTTCTTTTACTTAATTAGAGGTCCAACTGTGAGTCTGAGAAATACAGCTACCAAAAAGCCAGGGGTCCCTGCTGTCCTCTGTGGGACCTCCACATGTGTGCTGATCCCACGGGGCCAGGGTGTGTTCCCATTACTGCCTTCTCACCTGCCTTCACCCACCCTCCTTCTACTCAGAATCTAACAGTGCTGGTGCTGCCCCGAGCTGCACCGGCCATGAGGAATGCATGAAGACCACACCCTCAAGGGCACATTTTTTTATTCAGGCGTCTGTCGTTCCACAGACATTAACTGGGTATCTGCTGTGTGCCACGTTCTTATAATTCAAGGCCATGCTCTGCAATAGTACAGTTCTCTAGCATTTATGCAGCAGCAGGAAAATTGCTGGGCGGTATACGTCTTCTTTATCAAAGGCTATCGTCCTGATTAGAAATCTACAGCAGCAAGCCCTCATTTGTCTACATTAATGAATCCTAGGAATAAACTTAGTCACTCTATGTGCAGGCATCTGTCAGCGTTTTCGGAAACCTTCAGTGTATCCCCGACTCCTTGATCTGGGCCCTGAATCTTGTCTCACTTTTGGCAATGAGATCTTACAAGGATGTGTTTAAAGGCTGAGCTGTAGTTGTCAGGTGGAAAATCACAGATTTTACCAGGAAGGCTAAGCATGGCAATAAAACCTTCTCTGCTAGGATCTTTTAGACTTTTCTCTTCCATATTAGCTGGCATCCAGTGTTAGCTGGGTTTCTGTCATTCCCTGGACCCCACAACACGGCTACAACACGTATTTTTGGTTTTGCTGAGCTGGGTTTGGTGGGATCAACCGTGAATGAGGACCAGGCCAGGAGTGGAGGCCAGCCTCCATGTGTCCAGAGCTGAGCACTCACCTGGTTCCCGCTGCTGTGAGCCTGGAGGGTGGCAGGTCCTGGGATTCTGGGGGATATCCATCCACCACGCACCTTGGTGGACTCTTGCCAAGCCTCACTGGGGTCACCGGGCTTTGTCATGGCCTGTTCTCACTGTCTCACAGCCTCAGACATGTTAAAGGATCTGGCTTTTCCATAAAACCCTGTTTTTCAGTGATTTTAGAATTTCTTTTTCATATTTTGACATTTTAGGGTCTTTTTTTAAATTATTACTATACTTTAAGTTCTGGGGTACATGTGCACAACGTGCAGGTTTGTTACATAGGTATACACGTACCATGTTGGTTTGCTGCACCCATCAACTTGTCATTTACATTAGGTATTTCTCCTAATGATATCCCTTCCCCAGGCCCCCAACACCTGAGCGACCCCATGTGTGATATTCCCCTCCCTTTGTCCATGTGTTCTCATTGCTCAACTCCCACTTATGAGTGAGAACATGCAGTGTTTAGTTTTCTCTTCTTGTGTTACTTTGCTAAGAATGATGGTTTCCAGTTTCATCCATGTCCCTGCAAAGGACAGGAACTCATCCTTTTTTATGGCTGCATAGTATTCCATGGTGTCTATGTGCCACATTTTCTTTATCCAGTCTATCATTGATGGACATTTGGGTTGGTTCCGAGACTTTGCTATTGTGAACAGTAGGGTCATTTTTATAAAATTAAATTAAATTAAAAAAAGAAGAAGAAGATAGGTAAAGGTCTACAATTCACCTCTTAAAACTTAGTGTCTCTTCTCAGGCCTGACACTAATGCTTCTTTCTCTAAGAGCCCGGGTGAGTTCAGGACCATGAATATCTGTCTTTCCTGAAGCACAGATGTTAGTTCCGCTGGATTGCTGCAGAATGCCAGCCTGATATTCCACTGATGGTATTTTAACCAGCCTAAAGGATAGCTTTAAAAAGCACTAATGAGTAGCCTATGGGGCTTTCTACATTAAGTGAAGTTTCTCTTGCTAGTGAGTATAGACACTGTTTGTGTAATTACCTTGTGTTTGAGCAATTTCTCTTCTGTATTTAGGTCTTAGTGGCTAAATTCCTTGTCTCTTACCAACATTTACAACCGGTCTCAATAAAGTAGGAAGAGTCATTGTTCTTTACTTTTTTCTCTTTCTCCCCTCTTCGGGAGCATGCAAATAGCCACCATCCTGTCCTTCCTATAGGCCTGGAAAACAACAAAGGGGTCCAGCTTTTTCAGTGGGAGAGTAGAGTTTGAGAAAGAAGCTGAAGTAATGTCATCTAAAACACTGACAAATCAGGGCAACCAGTGATTCAAACCAAACAGGGCTAGAGATTAACACCCAAGAGAAAAAAGAAACTGATCAAAATATTCATTCAAGTCATCAGGATTAGAGCTGCCAGAAATGGCCCAGCCATGGAGTTACAGGAACAAGATTGATGGGTTGTAAACACTGGCAGGCTCCATCGGGGCACCAGGAAATGGACACGGAAGGGCCACACACAAGAAGGAACCAGAGTTCGAGATTTAAGTTCCTAAGACCACGTGGGGAAGACAGCACTGGGCCATGTCGTCTTCTCTGAAAAGTCTGTGTTCTTGCCTTTCCTGTGGCCAGGCCACTGACCCGCTGGTGCCCCTTCATGACAAAATTCTGTAAGTCAACAGCTTTATCACTTGCTTCAACAGTAGCCTCCACTCCCCAGACACCCACTGCTACCAGCATGCATGCAAGATGGCAGGAAAGCGTTTGTTTGATGACCAAATCTTTTATGTCCTATTAAATTCCCATTTGCATTTTTTAGCAATTCCTCTTTGTAATTCAATGTATTGATCAAAACAGTGGTTTCTGTCTGTTGAGAGAAATGGAACTATGCATCTAGCTTCTGTTTGTTTCTGTGTCTTAATGTTTTGTACTTTTGCATTATTCATGCACCTAGAGGCTCTGCATGATGGCTACATTTTTATAAATCCCCCAAATAAATAAGTAATGCCCTATTTAGAAAAGCTACTTTGTTTTACCTAGGACTTTGGCTGTGGTTGTCTGATAAGTCACATCTAGCAACTCAAGCCAATGGACAGCAATTGCAGGATCTCTTGTCATGCTTCAAATATTAAAAATAAAATTCAGAGCCACCCCATGTGTGTATAAGTTTTGTGCAACATTTCTGCTGAGGTTTCCTTTTTAGCTTCTTTTAATGCATCTCACTCATAAATTCTAGATAGCATACAGATGATTGAATGATAAATGACCTTTGGAAGGCTCTTAAAAAAAAATAAAGACTTTTTTTACAAGTGTTTTTCCTGTGACACATGAGGTTCATAGATGCTACAAGGAGATTTTGGGGAGGGTTGATTTGGTTTGGTAAACTAAGGTGGAAAAGAAAGATAATTTTCCTGATTATGTTTGTCCTGAGCTTCTGTCACTGGTAAAAGGAAATGAGAACTCGAATTTCCCATTGATGTAATCTGCATTCATCTAATTTTTTGGAAACTTGCTCAGCTCTCCACTAACCGAGATACACACAAGTGTGTCCTCAGATTCCACCAAATCTCGGCCTCCCATGGCAGTATCTCCCTGAAAGACACTGAATGGAACCCCAGTACTATCACATGTGTGAACTGCAATGCAATAAAACTCATTTGAAGGATTCACGCAATGTGAAGATAGTTCCCTTCTTGGCAGTCTATCTCATGTGTGTTAATTGCAAGGGCAGCTCTCCATGACAACTTGCTGAGCAAGTACAGGACTGTGCAGCCAATTCTGCAGTTTTTCCTTAACTTGACAACATTAGGAAGACCTCGGGTCTCCGGATTTTTCCACTCCTCTCCTCCAGAATGCTTCACTTTATAAAGCACATTTTATGCACATTCCCCTCATCTCTCTCTTTTGTGGTGAAAAGCATTAAACTTTCCCTTAGTTTCACTTTGGCTTAAGATCAATATTTCGACTAAATTCATATCTTTGATATATAGCATTTCACTGGGAGAGTATAAGAAGCCATATATTATTTTGCTCTTGAGAAAAATGGGAATCTGATCTGGAGATTACCTGCTAAGCGGTTGTGAGGATTTATTTGAATTCCCCTAAGAACCTGTTAGTGTATAATTTGTTGCACAGGATTTATGGCCCTCCCAGGAGATTTCATTCACCGCGTGAGAACATTTCCCTGACATGTCAAAGATGCGTCACTGTGGCTGCGATTTTTGCATAATCACAACGGGCTGCCTTGGCTCTTCTTGTGAAAATTTGGCTACTTGGCAAAGACCTGTCTCAGAGGTGTGCCCGCATGAGACCGATAGGGCACTTTCTTGCTGAGGAGCCCATGTCCATATTTAAATTCATCATATTTTAGAATATAGCCCAGGTTGGCCCTAATAGTCTCTGTTTTCTCAAATCTCCAAAGTGAATATTTGTCATAACAGAAAGGTCTCTGGGCTTTACTGATCTAAATATAGTGTAGCATATCCAATGTCAGCAAATAAGTATCATTCAGAATATATTATTTAAAACAGAATCAGGATTCACATTTTTCAAGCATATGTTCTAAGTTAAAAAATAAATAAAACTCTTGAGAGTGGTATAGTTTTGTTTTGTTTCCTCCACACACATTAAGAGTGGCCCAGGTCTTCCAGAAACATGGTCTGTGTGCTTCAGTCTAAATTACAGTCAAACCTCATTAATTCAGAGAAGAGGTCTTGTAACCCATAATTATGAGGACAGGAGCTGAGCTAAAATTTGACCTTTATCCCTGCCATCAGATTACTAAAAAAACACATTTTTAACAATATCCCAGGGGCAATGTCTAGGTACTCAAGGTCAACTGCTTTCCAGCAGTTTGGAAGCGCCTCAACAATGAGAAACAAAAGCACTACAATAATAATTTTTTAAAAAATGTAAAAAGGACATTTAAAAAGCACCAACTCTGATTATGATGAATTATATTTACACATCAAAGCATGGAGTGTTAGATCTAAGGAAACGTTAAGAAATTTAGTCTGACCAATTTCACTAAAGCTGCGAAAATTATTTTTTGTCATGTTTTCAGTTACACTCCAGCATTTCCAACATGCGGCATAAAAAAAGTTACAATTCTCCCTCAGCTTCTAAGTACCTTAAATTTAATTGTAAATTGAAAGTAGTTTTGTTTTGTTTTGTCAGAAAACAACAGATGCTAGTGAGGTTGTGGAGAAACAGGAACACTTATACACTGTTGGTGGGAGTGTAAATTAGCTCAACCATTGTGGGAGACAGTGCGGCGATTTCTCAAAGACCTAGAGTCAGAAATACCATTCGTCCCAGCAGTCCCACTGCTAGGTATATACCCAAAGGAACATTAATCATTCTATTATAGAGATACATGCATGCGTATGTTCATTGCAGCACTATTCACAATAGCAAAGATGTGAAATCAACCCAAATGCCCATCAAAGATAGACTGGATAAAGAAAATGTGGCACATATACACCATGGAATACTATGCAGCCATAAAAAGGAATGAGATCACCTCCTTTGTGGGGACATGGATGAAGCTGGAAACCATCATTCTCAGCAAACTAACACAGGAACAGAAAACCAAACACTGCATGTTCTCATTCACAAGTGGGAGCTGAACAGTGAGAGCACATGGGCACAGAAAGGGGAACAACGCACACTGGGACCTGTCAGGGGAGGGGCCAGGGGAGGGAGAGCTAACACATACTGGGCTTAATACCAAGGTGATGGGATGATCCATGCAGCAAACCACCATGGCACACGTTTACCTATGAAACAAACCTGCACATCTCCACATGTACCCCAGAACTTAAAAGAAAAGTTAAAGGAAAACAAAGAAAGTATTTTTAAAAATTAACTATTTAACCTTTATTAGAGCCCTGTGGATTTTTTTAACATGGAATTGGAATCACAGATTACTTCCCGTGTCCGTCCATGCTGTAACCATAAGGTATAGTTCTTTCTAAGTAGATGATTCAAAGCCCTCATTCACAGTGGCTTCTTGGGATTGCTTCTCGGGATTGCTTCTCTTTGCAGGTTTTCAGGCAGGGTCCATGCTGCCCTCTCTCCTGTCTTCCCATTTTCCCTGAGAGAGAGGAGCAAATCTGATAGGGAGGGTTGTGGAGGGGGGATTCAGGGGAGGAACTGAGTTTCTTCAGCTAAACCCAGCTCCTGGGCATGCCTTGGTTCTTCTCATCTGCCGGTCATGGAAGACAAGCTTCCAGGTCTGCCTCCAGCCAAGTCCCAAGTCTCAGAGCCAGCTCTACCCTTGCAAAGGTTTGGGGTGAGATGATGTTGAGGGGAGTGCTTAAAATTGAGGCAATGCGGCTGGGCATGGTGGCTCATGCCTGTAATCCCAGCACTTTGGGAAGCCGAGGCAGGCGGATTACCTGGGGTCAGGAATTCGAGACCAGCCTGACCAATACGGTGAAACCCCATCACTACCAAAAATACAAAAATTAGCCGGGTGTGGTGGCATGTGCCTGTAGTCCCAGCTACTCGGGAGGCTGAGACAGGAGAATTGCTTGAACCTGGGAGGTGGAGGTTCCAGTGAGCCGAGATCGCACCACTGCACTGCAGCTTGGGCTATAGAGTGAGACTCCCTCTCAAAAAGAAAAGAAAAAAAAAATTGAGGTAATGCTCCAGATGTCCGCTGTGCTACAGATCTAAGCCAAGGGCCTCATCCAGACTCTTAAAGCTATAACACTATTGATTCTCTCCTGTCAGGCCTCTGCCTTACTTCCAAATTCATTGTGCACTTGAGTGGAAGAAAGCTGTGTCATTTATTGGCCCTCAAACACCAGCGTCATGCGAGAGGCCTCAGAAACCTTGCAGAAACTAGGCAGCAGACTGCAGCAGCCAATTGCAGGGACAAGCAGAGGTCCTGAGTAACTTCTCAGCAGCTGAGGCCTTGTCAAGGGCTGACCATAGCCTGGGCCAGTTGCATCCAGCTTTTTCCTAGGCAGAAAGACCTGAGATAAGAAGCAGACAGCAGTGAGAGAGAAGAGCTTAGTTCTGCTCAAGGCTCTTCTTACAACTGAGAAGCTCAGGTGCAGCCTCAGGCATCGGTAAATAAAGTAACTGTTTGCTGCCTTTACTCTTTCTGGAGCAGGTCTTCAGGATTGTGCAATAAAGTGAAAATGCAGCTGAATGCTGCATGAGCAACATAGCTGGGGTGAATCTGCTGTAATTTCTGGTCCAAATGGGATACTTTCAGAATAAGAGAGGCTGGTGTTAAAAAGCATGCTGGCAAGAACATCTGTGCACACTGTCCTAAGCAAGCTGGGACTCAGGGGCACCCTAGGAGCATCTGTTAGGTGGGTGCAAAAGGAACTGTGGTTTTTTTCCGTTACTTTCAATGGCAAAAACCGCACTTCCTCCTGCACCAACCTAAAAACACTGAGGTCGCTGGTTCCAGGATGACATTAGCAATGCCAGGATCGGCTGCCCAGATGCCTGTTCTGTTAAACTACAGGGAACTGCTGCATTCAAGGACGAGGGAGATGAGCTTGTGCCCGCTGAAGTCTGTAGCCAGCTTTAGGTTGATTACACCAGTGCTGGTCATGGTTGTAGATTTCAGTAATCCAGATTGTGGTTTACGTTAGAAAACGGTAGTGAATTTTGTGACCAAACATATAGAAAGCAATGGGTCCCTTATCACGCTGGGAAAATGCCATCAACTTCAGGTGGGGTAATGAAAATATTTGATGAAGACATTAAAACACCCGAAAGTTAAGAAACCAGCTGGACAGACCTGGGCCTGAAACACTGTTGTTAGGGTCTCAGATGGAGCAACTGGGTAGGTTGATGAATATCCTTTGGCCTTTTCAAAGGAAGAAGAGCGAAAAATTGGGACAGTGGAGAACAGAGGTGACAGCTGCACTTGGAACCTTGTTTGCTGCAAGTACGTGTGCCCATCTGAGTGTAGCCTGCCTCATTCTATGGGTAGAGACACCCTGAATAAGGATCAAAAGCCAGAGGGGAGTGACAATAACCCCTTATTAGCAAGATTTTCGTGTGTCTGATGGACAAGCAGGACAGAGAGTCCTCGAAGTGGAGGCCACAGAGCAATGTCTCAGAGGCCGATCTTGGCAAGAGGAGATCATCTGCGTGGATGATCCTCCCTTTCTGGCTTGACAAGCAGCCTGGTCTCTCCCAGCTGAGTTTAGTTCCACAGAGCCCTCCGACGTCCGGCTTAGAATGACTGACATGCTCTTGAGGCTGAACCCGAGAGAGTTCTCTCTGACTTTCTCTCCTCCCTCAGGGACCTCGGAGCCTCTGCGGGAACAACATGGGCATGAACTGTGTTGAGAACTGGCTCCTGGGAACAAGGTTCCACGTGCGCCCCAGAGCTGAGGATGGGGCTCTTTTTTCCTTAATTAAGTGGATATACAGTCAATACTGTGATAATCCGGTGTTTCTTACTCACTGGTTGAGCACAGTATCTGGGGTCCTAAGAAACCAATTCCAGTGGGAGACAACCTGGCTGAACAAAGACCAGCTTCATCCAGATTTTGGAAGGAGATGCGTCTAACACAGTCGAAGAAACAAGAGTTAAGAATATCTTGGGATACTGACTCTCAAGGTTAAGAAAATGTTATTTTCCTTTGATTTTAAGTCAACTTAAAAATAAACTTCGACTTTTCTTTCTCAAAATATTTCTGGTTAAAGAAGTTTCTCTGTGTTATTAAGATTTTTTTGCTCCAAACAGAAATACCCTTTGTCAGCCCAAAACGCAAAAGAGAATCCATGCATAAGAAGGTTGGGAACCCAGGAGCTGTCTTCAGCTCGTGTCTACGCACCTGCTTCTCACTTTCCCTCTCTTGCGGGCTGCTCTCTTTGCTTCCTAAGTCATGAGACTGAAAACGACCCTCACTGTCTCCCGTGAGGGAGTGGCGGACCAAACCTGCAACCTCCTAGATGCAGCCCACATCCCAGGAGGGGCAAAGATGGCACCAGCTCAGGCCAAGGTGGCTCCTGCAGCCACCGACATGTCTTACTTTGTTGCTTCCTTACACTAAAAAATGAAAAGATCTTGATGTGCTTTAGAGCAAGGTTTCTCAGCCTCGCCACTGCTAATGGCACTGGAGGCCGGATGACTCTGTGGGGTGCTGTCCTGTGCACTGTAGGACTCTCAGCAGCTTCCTGGCCTCCATCCACCTGGTGCCAGTAACGCTCTTCAGTTGTAAGTACCAAAAATGCCAACAGATGTCACCAAATGTCCCCAGAGGGGCAGCCTCTCCCTCAGTTGAGAACTGCTGCTCTAGGGTCAGAGACACCTGGGTTAACACTATGTCCCCTGACATCCTTCTGACTTTGGATAAATTAGTTCATCGCTTTGTGCCTCACTTCATCTGTAAGCTAAATCTAATAATAAATAATAGTAGCACTTAACTAATAGGGAAAACATGGATTTCATGAAGCAATGTAGACAAAAGCTTTAACATAACAACGTGTGATAAACATTCCAAGGTTATGGCTATTGTTTACAAAATAAATCCAAAGCATGTGTTTGTGTATACACGCAAACATCACATACATACACACATATATACACACATACATATACACGCATATACACACACATATACACTTGCACACACAAGCACACACACATATACATGTGCACACATCTCACACACACAAGCACATACATACACACACACATGCACATACTTATACACATGCACACACAAGCACACACACACACATATGCGTGCACACACATCACACACAAGGGGCAGCCCAAAGCTGCAGACACACATACACATGCAGCGACACACATACATACACACGCACACACACCACACACAAGCGCACACACATATACACGCACACACATATACACACACATGCACTTGCACACACAAGCACACACATATACATGTGCACACATCTCACACACACAAGCACATACATACACACACACATGCACATACTTATACACATGCACACACAAGCACACACATACACACACACATATGCGTGCACACACATCACACACAAGGGGCAGCCCAAAGCTGCAGACACACATACTCATGCAGCGACACACGTACATACACACGCACACACACCACACACAAGCACACACACATATACA